>NC_000014.9:74157167-74308682 GCF_000001405.40 Homo sapiens
GACTCCAGGCATGTGCCACCACACCCAGCTAATTTTTGTATTTTTAGTAGAGACAGGGTTTCTCCATGTTGGCCAGGCTGATCTTGAACTCCTGACCTCAGGTGATCCTCCCGCCTCAGCCTCCCAAAGTGCTGGGATTATAGGCATGAGCCACCACACCTGGCCTCCACATTTTCTTTATCCATTCATCTGTTGATAGACACTTAGGTTGATTCTGTATCTTGGCTAACCACAGATACTTCTTTGAAAACAAAGTGAATCATGGCATACTCCTGCTATATATATATATATATTTTTTAATTAATTTATTTATTTTAGAGACAGGGTCTCACTCTGTCACTCAGGCTGGAGTGCAGTGGTGTGAACTTGGCCCACCTCAGCTTCGACCTCCTGGACTGAAGGGATCCTCCCACCTTAGCCTCCCAAGTACCTGGGACTACTCACCACCACACCTGGCTCATTTTTTGATATTTTTTTTTTCTGTGGAGATGGGATTGCTCTGTGCTGCCCAGGCTGGGATTACAGGGATGAGCCACCGTGCTCAGCATACTCCTGCTTATCAAAGTTCTATGTCTCCTTGGGTCCTACAAGATAACATTCAAATTCTCAGGCTTTCACAAAGTGCCTTCCTGACACTGATCCAGGCTTTCCGTAGTGTCATCATTCTATGGGATCTACACCTGAGGCTCTGGGGATTTCCTATGGAAGAACAAATGTGGAACTTCTTGGTCTCAGATTAAGGGCTTTGTGCATCATTTGCCAGATGGTGTTTCAAATGTTCACAATTCTTTCTTTCAACTTCAGGGGTATATTGTTGTTCAGATTTTCAACAATTTGCCCTTATGACATTCACTTTATAATTTAACTTTGTTTGCAGCAATGGAGGAAACCTTTCTTGTTAAGACAATTAAGGTGTCTATGCTTTCTATCATCACTGCTATATATATATATATATATATTTTTTTGAGATAGAGTCTCCCTCTGTTGCCCAGGCTAGAGCACAGTAGCGTGATCTCGGCTCACTGCAACCTCCGCCTCACAGGTTCAACTGATTCTTGTACCTCAGCCTCCCGAGAGCCAGGATTACAGGTGCGCGTCACATGCCCGGCTAATTTTTGTATTTTTAGTAGAGATGGAGTTTCACCATGTTGGCCAGGCTGGTCTCAAACTCCTGACCTCAAGTAATCCTCTCGCCTCAGCCTCCCAAAGTGCTGGGATTATAGGCGTGAGCCACCGTGCGTGGCCCGCCCCCTACTGCTGTCGTAAGTTATTTCTTCCTTTCTTTCTTTTTTATTTTTATTTATTTACTTGTTTGTTTATTTATTTTTGAGACAGAGTTTTGCTCTTGTTGCCCAGGCTGCAGTGCAATGGCACGATCTCAGCTCACTGCAACCTCCACCTCCCGGGTTCAAGTGATTCTCCTGCCTCAGCCTCCTGAGTAGCTGGGATTACAGGCATGTGCCACCACGCCCGGCTAATTTTGTATTTTTAGTAGAGATGGGGTTTCTCCATGTTGGTCAGGCTGTTCTTGAACTCCCGACCTCAGGTGATCCGCCCACCTCAGTCTCCCAAAGTGCTGGGATTACAGGCGTGAGCCACTGCGCCCAGCCGTAAGTTATTTATTTCTAGAGATCAGAAATCGAATTTATTTAACTCTATCACCACAGTTCACAAATGGCCCTTAATAATTTTGAATGCTATTACTCAAAGCCAAATAACACAAAATTTCAGAATTTTCTTGCAACTTCTTATGTTGCAAGTTACATTGATGTTATATCCAGATGGTTATAATTTTCCTCCCAGGTCTCTCTAATCTCTGCTTCCAACTGTATTGCTGGGCCTCAGAGCTCTTTCCAACACAGGGTTCCTGGGGCCACAGGAGACAAACATTTAAAGGCTCTGTATTCCTAGTGGTTGGGTCTTAACTATTATAAACTACATGTTTTAAATCTAATTTAACATTAGCAGATTAATGCAAGTGAAATATATTTTCTTATTTGTATTATATTCAGTATAGAGTGTATCTTTTTATTTAATTACAAGATTTAATACCAGAAATTCTGAGATTAAAAAAAAATCTTACCCAAGTTCTCCCTACAATTTTTAAATAAAATAGTGTCATTGGCTTTATTCTTTTAAGAGAAGATCTCTTGGTAATTCTCTTTCCTAAAGCTTTCTGGTGATCTTAGCATAACCTTCATTCAGCAAAATATCTCCTGCCTGCCTTTGTATATACGTAACAGAGTACCATTAGAATTATCTGCAGTATAATGTTACTACTTACACAATTACTGATTTAAGTTTCTGTACATGTGTGGATAAATGCTCAAATTGTCTGTCTTGTCCAGGCAGATTCTGTAGCCATGGTTCTTAACCTAGAGTCCTCATATGTGGGGTTTGTTTTTTTTTTTTTTTTTTTTGGTGAGATGGAGTCTCACTCTGTCACCCAGGCTAGAAGCAGTGGCATGATCTCAGCTCACTGCAGCCTCCACCTCCTGGGTTCAAGTAATTCTCCCACCTCAGCCTCCTGAGTAGCTGGGATTATAGACATGTGCCTCCACGCCCAGTTAATTTTTGTATTTTTAGTAGAGACGGGGTTTCACCATGTTGGCCAGGCTGGTCTCGAACTCGTGACCTCAAGTGATCCGCCTGCCTTGGCCTCCCAAAGTGCTGTGACTACAGGTGTGAATCACCGTGCCCTGCCTACAGCTGTCTTTATGAAGTGCTATGACAAACCTACCATACAGCAAGCGTTCTCAACTTTGGCACCATTATGAAATTGTGTTTGTGTGTGTACATGTATAATTTTCAGCAGAGAGTTTCTATGACTTTTATCAGATTTTTTAAGAGATCTCTGTTATGGATTGAATTTTGTCCCCTGAAAAAGATATGTTGGAGTCCTCTTCCTTATTTGGAGATAGGCTCTTTACAGAGGTAATTAAGTTAAAATGAGGTCATTGTGTGGGGCCTCATCCCAATATGGCTGAAGTCTTTATACAAAGGAAAAGTTTGGACATGGAGACAGACATGCATAGAGGGAAGACAGTGAAAAGAGACACAGGGAGAAGATGCCATCTACAAGCCAAAGAGAGAGGCCTGGAACAGAGCTTTGCCTCACAGCCCTCAGAAGGAATGGACAATTCTAGCATTAGCTCAAGCTGCTGTATGATGTACTTGTGTGAAGGATTATTTATGGGCCCAAATACCCTTCTCTCTATAGGAGTTTATAATCTCTATAGACTAAAAGGAATTAGGTCCCCAAGGTTGCTGCCGTTCTTAGCCTAGATTTAAAAACCTTTAATTTTTCACTATTTTATGTAGTTCCATATGCATATGGAGATTTCATGATCATTAGGTGAAAATTACTCTTTAAATTAATTATTCATAGTAAAGGGAAAGGGTTTGCCTTTTGAAAAAAGTATATCTTTTCCATTTTTCTAAGTCTTCTACAGTTTAGGCCATACCGGTTTTCAGAAATCCCTTCTAGTTAAAGTCTACTAAACACTAACTAACTTACTCTTTACTTTCTCAAGCACTAATGGAAATACTGGATTATAACCAATCTAATACTCTCTGGGCATTTCTACTAGACACTTTGCTCAGTGTGATTTAAGGCAGTTTATAATCACTCCTTGTGGTCTTGAGGCCAGTTTTCAATTCATGAGACTCATATATCCTAGCTAGTTTTAATTAATTTTGCAAGGAAGATGCCAGGAGAAGCAATATTAAATGCTTTCTTATAATCAGGTTATTTCATCTTTTGCGTTCTCGTCAGCCACTAATCTTGTAATTTTATCTTAACAAAATACAGAACTTGCTTTGACATAGTTTGTTCTTTACTCATCATGTTTTTCAGTACATAGAACTTATGGTTTGGGTAACCTTATATTCATGATTGTCTTAACATTAGGATTTGGGGATAGACCTTAATTAGTATCACATTGTGTTTCATATATTTGGTCTTTTAGGGTAATCATATTAGCCAAGAACAGTCAGGAGTAATTTGAACAGGGAAAAATTTATTTATTTATTTATTTATGACAGAGTCTCACTCTGTTGCCCATGCTGGAGTGCAGTGCATGATCTCGGCTCACTGCAACCTCCGCCTCCTGGGTTCAAGCGATTCTCCTGCCTCAACCTCCCAAGTAGCTGGGACTACAGGCATGCACCACCATGCCCAGCTAATTTTTGTATTTTTAGTAGAGATGAGATTTTGCCACATTGGCCAGGCTGGTCTCAAACTCCTGACCTCAGGTGATCCACCCTCCTTGGCCTCTCAAAAGTGCTGGGATTACCGGCGTCAGCCACCGTGCCCGGTCTGAACAGGGAAAATTTAAAATAAAAAATGTTAATTAGGTGAAAGGTGGTTAACTTCTGAAAGGAAAAGAAGAGTCAACGGTGTACAGAGGTAGCAGAAAGCTGCTAACCCCTAGGACTGAAGGAGAGTCAACAGAGGAACTTAGTGGAGGTCCCCACAAGGCTGAGGTTCAGCCCTCTGAAGGGAAAACACATGGCCACGGGAACACTCTGCCGGTGCATTGCCGGAGCAGCCCACCTGATGGCAGTGAAGAATCTTTGGGGGAGGGAGCCCCACCACTGAACTGTAAGGACTGCCATTGCCAAGGTGAACATAGCTGAGACCCTGCACGCCAACCTGCTTGTCGCTGCACAGAAGAGCCACACGGTGCAAGAAGGAAGAAAAGGCCTTTTTCCTGCCTCAGCTTTGCAGCCTCCCTCCAGTGCCCTTTATTGGCAAAGCAAAGCACCAGGCTAAGTGACAGAGAAGAAATGTAGCCTGCTGTTGGGTCCAACTCCAGTATCACAAAGCAGGGCAAAGGGTGAGTTAGGAAGCGAGAGACAGTAAATGGATAACTGGCACAGTGAGTAAAATTTTTGTGTAACTTTAAATATTACAAGTTAACTTTATTTTGCATCATGGGGTTGATAACTATCATTCAATTAACAGGTTTTAACAAAATTTTCAAAAATAAAAAATCTGACAGTAATTGGAAGATAACAAAGCATAAGTGTGAATAAAAAATTGCCGCCTGTAATCCCAGCACTTTGGGAGGCTGAGGTGGACAGATCATTTGAGATCAGGAGTTTGAGACTAGCGTGGCCAATATGGTGAAATCTCGTCTCTACTAAAAATACAAAAATTAGCTGGGCTTGGTGGTGCACACCTGTAATCCCAGCTGCTTGGGAGGCTGGGGCAGGAGAATCGCTTGAAACCAGGAGATGTAGGTTGCAGTGAGAGGAAATCGCCACTGTACTCCAGCCTGAGCAACAAAGCAAGACTCCATCTCACAAAAAAAAAAAAAAAAAAAAGATTGCTCTCCCACCCTCTTAGCCACATTGAATTTTCTTACTTTCCTTATTTATTTATTTTTTTATTGAAAAAAAAATATTAGAGATGGGGTATCATTATGTTGCCCAGGCTGGTCTCAAACTCATGGGCTCAAGGGATCCACCCACCTCATCCACCAAAAGTGCTGAGATTACAGGTGTGAGCCACTGCGCCCAGCCGAATTTTCTTAATTTCATGTATGACTAATTTTCTCTTCTAATCATTTCATTTTTCTTGAATTGTTATATTCTCTCCCAACTTTTCTCTTTTTAACGACATTGAGCTCTCCTCTTCCTGTCTTCCATTAGCACCTTTCCTAACAACCTTATTTGTTCTTCAATTGTTATTTATGCTTGTCTTCTCAGCTAAATTGTAAGGCCCTTGTAGTGAACTCAGGGACTGTGCTTTATATTACTTCTGTATATTACAGAATAGGACTATACGAATGCATGTTGAATAGATGGAATCATTTTATATTTACAATTAAGTAAGAAAATGGAAACATAGCCATCAAAGCAGTCAAGGAACAGGTAGGCACTTACCCTTTCTATTCTCCCTTGCTACCTTCTTTTTTGTTCTTGTTTTGAGACGGGGTCTGGCTCTGTCTGCAGGCTTGGAGTACAGTGGTACAATCTCAGCTCACTGCAGCCTCAACCTCCTGGGCTCAAGCCATCCTTTCACCTCAGCCTCCAGGTAGCTGGGACTACAGGTGCACACCACCATGCCCAGCTAATTTTTGTATTTTTGTAGAGACGGGGTTTCACCATATTGCCCGGGCTGGTCTCAAACTTCTTACCTCAAGCAATCCATCCACCTCTCTGCCTCCCAAAGTGTTTGGGTTACAAGCGTGAGCCACTGCACCCAGCCTCCGTTGCTACTTTTTCAGAAGCTATTAATAGTCTGCCAGTTGTCTCTCGCTCTCTAGAAAGAATATAGCTAACATTAGAAATGTAAAAACAAAACCAAGGTAGGAGTGGGGGGGATGACAAAACAGTTATAATCATGGAAAAAGCTAAAGACATCTGAAGTGAAAAATAAATGTGGAGGGCACTTTAAGGTTAATGATGGTTTTAATGTACACTCTGGCTTTTCTTTCGAAACCCTACTAAAACAATTTTTTTAAAAAATATAAGAGCCCTCAAGGAGAGAACAAGAGAGATGACAACAGCAGCAAGATTTTGGAAGGTGGAAAGTATGTGAATTTAGCAAGCCTATGAAAAATAATACAAAGTGAGGAAAGCCAAGAACCAAGGCAGTTCACGAAACTTCAAAGGCTGAAGATTGGTGGTACAGGTGAAGGAGGAGATGGCTT
Source organism: Homo sapiens (assembly GCF_000001405.40). NCBI lineage: Eukaryota > Metazoa > Chordata > Mammalia > Primates > Hominidae > Homo > Homo sapiens. The sequence goes on from NC_000014.9 coordinate 74,163,827, forward strand.
AAATAAGGAGGATTAAAGTGTATTTAGGAGTCACATACCTATATCACCTGCTTTATTCTCTCCCACAAAAGACTGGAGCTTTATTCTCTAAAGTTAAAACACAATGGTTACTCAACCGGTGGATACTAGACCAGTGGAAGATGGGGTCTGTACTGAAATTTTTTTTTTTTTTTGAGACAGAGACTCGTGCTGTCGACCAGGCTGGAGTGCAGTGGCGCAATCTCGGCTCACTGCAAGCTCCGCCTCCCGGGTTCACGCCATTCTCCTGCCTCAGCCTCCGGAGTAGCTGGGACTACAGGTGCCCGCCACCATGCCCGGCTAATTTTTTGTATTTTTAGTAGAGATGGGGTTTCACCGTATTAGCTAGGATGGTCTCCATCTTCTGACCTCGTGATCCGCCTGCCTCGGCCTCCCAAAGTGCTGGGATTACAGGCGTGAGCCACTGCGCCCAGCCGTTTTTGTTTTTTTTTGCTTTTGAGACAGGGTCTCACTCTGTCACCTAGGCTGGAGTGGAGTGACACGATCTCGGCTCACTGCAACCTCTGTCTCCTGGGTTCAAGGGATTCTCCCATCTCAGCCTCCTGAGTAGCTGGGAGTACAGGCAGGCACCACCATGCCCAGCTAATTTTTATATTTTTTGGTAGAGACAGGGTTTCACCATGTTGTCCAGGCTGGTCTCGAACTCCTGACTTCAAGTGATCCGCCTGCTTCGGGCTCCCAAAGTGCTGGGATTACAGGTGTGAGCCACCATGCCCGGCCTGCACTGAAAATGTAGCAAATTATGCACGCATTATATGCTGAGGCCATCTCTCCCTCCACACCCAGGCCTTCACTCTCCGGTCAGGAAATTAGAAGAGACTAATCTGGGGAATCTGATCAGCCCAAGAAGAATAAAGGCACTGACACTGGAAGTTCTACAACTAAACAGCCTGATCACACTGTAGCAAAGCTTACAGTCAACAAGCCTAGCTCCTACTTGAGTTTTCAAGCAGCTTTTTAGTCTCCTATTCTTACATAGGAAAAGAAATTACCAATGTTTGAGAAAAGCCCCTAAAATGAAAAATAAGGACTGAAGGCAATGAATGGAAGGCAACTTGGAGAAAACAGAATATGCCTTCAAGAAGGTAAAATTGATAAATCGCATGATTTACCACGTTTCAATATCTTAAGTTTAGACAGCAGACAGACATAGTCGATTCTGTGGTTGATTTAGAGATAAGTACAGAGAAAACCAAGCAAACTGAAAAACTCAGGGAAAACAAAAAAAAATGTGCAAGTAAGGAAAAGTAATCATAGTTAATAATATGCCTTAGCTATAAATAGTATTTGTATAATCATAATAATGTAGAAACTGAATGTTAATTTAAGTTACCATGTATAACCCTGAGAAGATAGGAGATAGGATGCATGTCATGTGTATTATGAGGAATTAAGGTGGGAAGGGGGAAAAAAAGAGTCAAGTTATCACTTCCTGTATTGGGGGAAGTCAATAGAAAATGCCTCAAATTGAAAAATCAGGAGGTAGCAATACAGGCACTTTTTTTTTCATTCCTTTGGTTCATTCCTAGGAATACAGGCATATTATTTAGTCATTTAAGACATAAAGGTAATATAAAAGAATCAGCTAAACAGAGTGAAAGTGATTGCCATGGGAAGGAGTTAATGGAGAATTACAGGTTTTCTTTTCTTTTTTTTTTTTTTTGAGACAGAGTCTCAGTCACCCAGACTGAAGTACACAGTGGCACAATCTTGGCTCCCTGCAACCTCCATCTCCAGGGTTCAAGCGATTCTCCTGCCTCAGCTTCCCAAGTAGCTGGGATTACAGGCACATGCCACCACGCCTGACTAATTTTTGTATTTTTGATAGAGATGGGGTTTCACCATGTTGGCCAGGGTGCTATCGAACTCCTGGCCTCAAGTGATCCGCCCACCTCCGCCTCCCAAAGTGTTGGGATTACAGGTGTGAGCCACTGTGCTGGGCCTATTTTCTTATTAAACATTGTTTAGCCTTGTTTCCAAAAATGTTACAATATCCAGTCTCTGTCCCTCCGATTACCTATTTCACCAATTTTTTTTTTTTTTGAGACAGAGTTTCGTTCTTCTTGCCCAGGCTAGGGTGCAATGGCATGATCTCAGCTCACCGCAACTTCCACCTCCCGGCTTCAAGCAATTCTCCTGCCTCAGCTTCCTGAGTAGCTGGGATTACAGGCATGCGCCACCATTCCCGGCTAATTTTGTATTTTTACTGGAGACGGGGTTTCTCCATGTTGATCAGGCTGGTCTCGAACTCCTGACCTCAGGTGATCTGCCCACCTCAGCCTCCCAAAGTGCTGGGATTACAGGCGTGAGCCACTGCGCCCAGCTATTTCATCTATTTTTAACAATTAAGTTATTTTTTATTTTTTTTAAGACAGAGTTTTGCTCTCGTTGCCCAGGTTGGAGTGCAATGGCGCGATCTCAGCTCACCGCAACCTCCGCCTCCTGACTTCAAGCGATTCTCCTGTCTCAGCCTCTAGAGTAGCTGGGATTATAGACATGCGCCACCACGCTGGCTAATTTTGCATTTTTAGTAGAGATGGGGTTTCTCCGTGTTGGTCAGGCTGGTCGCGAACTCCTGACCTCAGGTGATCCGCCCACTTGCCTCCCAAAGTGCTGGGATTACAGGCATGAGCCACCGCGCCCGGCCAAGATCTTTAAATTAAAACGTTATTGCTCACATATTTTCAGTTTTGTGTCATGAAATCTGTGTGCCCAAAAAATCCAAAATATATAATTCATTTTCTGGGTGGGAAGCAACTATATTTCTGTCTCATGATGGGAAATAGAACCCAAAATTCAAGGCTTTAGCAATATGTTGATCACACAGTTTGATTAAGGAATTTCACTTTTTCCCATCTTTTTCCCTTGGTGTAAGGGGTATTTTCCTGAATATCTAGCTGGATTGCAATTCACTTGGGAAAAAATAAAATTCTATGCCAATTTTCATTATTAAGGTCCTCTAAATATTGACCTCTGGTAATTGGTAGGTTTTGGTGGATGGAATTTTACTTTTTTGACATGACATTGAATTGTACATTTAGCACTGGGTCTGGGTGTTCTCTCTGGGGAGAGTGGAATTGATGGTTCTTTTTTCTGTCAGTCCCAGGTGGCCTGTCAGGAGAGCAGGTGTTGCTGGGATGGTGCATGCATTCAAGAGTCATAGTGCAAATCTCATCAAGGCATGTATCCCCAAACCACTCAGGCTGGTATCTCTCCTGGGGAAGAGGCCAACACTGGCCTCTGCTGCTTTTTTTTTTTTTTTTTTTTAGAAAAAGAAAGAAAAACTAATTATCAACGTGCAGCAAATGTCATTCAACTCAAATCCATGAAGGATAAAAGCATAGGAGACAAATGTTCCTGGAGACAGGGTTGAGCTGTCACTTGTCTTTTTAATGGATTGTTGTTTGGCTATAGAATCACATGTTATTTTATCTAATGGTGTATTTCATCTGAAGAAATACTGAATAGAATTGTACCATTTTCATAACCCCTCTGGGTTTGAACAGAATCCTAGCATCAAGGAAGATATAAGAGGTTATTTTCATTGCTCTTAAAACATTCAGGGGACGGGTGTTTATTGACTTAGTCAATAGTTGGCTAATGTTGGCCAGGCTGGTCTCAAACTCCTGACCTCAAGTGATCCACCCGCCTCAGCCTCCCAAAGTGTTGGGATTACAGGTGTGAGCCACCATGCCTGGCCTATGTCCAGAAATTCTTAACATGTAACCCAATTCACTCAGGTTTTAGATTAAGTATGTTTCCTTTTACTCTAAATGCTATTTGACAAGTGAAGTATTGTCCCTAATACTGCACCTATTTTTTCTTTTTTCAGTTTTTATATTTTTTATAGAGATGGGGGAGGGTCTCACTATGTTGCCTAGGCTGGAATTGAACTCTTGAACTCAAGCAGTCCTCCTGCCTCAGCCTCCTGAGTAACTAGGACCACAGGTGTAAGCCAGTGAGCCTGGCTTCCTTTCTTTTACTTACAGTTATTATATTCCATTTATCTACCTTGACTACACCATGGGCAGTTGGGCAGTGATCTTTGTTACATTTCAGAGGGCAGAATTAGGAACAATGAGAAGTTAGAGAGAAGTTGGATTTTGTTTTGGGGTTTGTTTATTTGTTTTGCCACACTCTTGGAAGAACTTTCCAAATGTCCAAGAATTAAATGGACCCTCAAGAAGTACTGAGTTTCCTATCAGTGGTAATGCTCAGGCAGAGCTCTGCAATTAACTATAGAATGTTATGAGATACTGCAGGTTATTAGGTGGGAGTTTAGATCAGATATTCTTTTCAACTACATGAATTAAGGATTCTATTATTTTTGCTTTCAACAGAAGATATACAAAATAAACAGCCAGTGTCCATCTTGAATTGCACCATTGTTTATAATATTTCTGTTTTTTTAATCTTACAGTCCTCTCTGTTATAACAGTTATTACTTATTAATGGAGATAGCAATGCTATTAGTACTTGTATTGAATTAGTAAGTGTTCTGATAGAAAAATTAACCAGCTTTGCCGGGCGCGGTGGCTCACGCCTGTAGTCCCAGCACTTTGGGAGGCTGAGGCAGGTGGATCACGAGGTCAGGAGATCGAGACCATCCTGGCTAACATGGTGAAACCCCATCTCTACTAAAAATACAAAAAATTAGCCAGGCGTGGTGGTGGGTGCCTGTAGTCCCAGCTACTCGGGAGGCTGAGGCAGGAGAATGGTGTGAACCCAGGAGGCGGAGCTTGCAGTGAGCAGAGATTGTGCCACTGCACTCCAGCCTGGGTGACAGAGTGAGACTCCGTCTCAGAAAAAAAAAAGAAAAATTAACCAGCTTTTCAAACAGCATTTAGAGTAAAAGGAAACATACTTAATCTAATACCTGAGTGAACTGGGTTACATGTTAAGAATTTCTGGACATAGGCCAGGTGTGGTGGCTCACACCTGTAATCCCAAAACTTTGGGAGGCTGAGGCAGTCGGATCACTTGAGGTCAGGAGTTTGAGACACCTGGCCATCATGGCAAAACCCCATCTCTACTAAAAATACAAAAATTAGCGGGGCATGGTGGCGCGTGCCCAGCTACTTGGGAGGCTGAGGCAGGAGAATCGCCTGAACCTGGGAGGTGGAGTTTCCAGTGTGCCGAGATCACGCCAGTGTACTCCAGCCTGGGCAACAGAGTGTGACTCTTGTCTCAAAATAAAAAAGAATTTCCGGAGAGAAAGGAATGTTAAAATTTGGAAACTCTTTTTTGGGCCTTGAAAATGAAGCACATTTTCATATCTGGGCTGTCTCACTGACTTGAGCCTTACCTTAGTGACTGTTTCTAAAATGTCTTCTTTTCACACATCCCCAGTCCACATTTCTTTTTCTACTGTTTCAAGAGAAGTTCCCTTTTACCAGTAATATCTAGACTATCTTGAGTAAACCTTCTTCTTTAATATCAAAATCCTTTTGTCTCTTTTCTCCTCCCTTTTTCCCAATTCCAAGAAGTATCCTTTCTCTTAAGAGTTACCTTCCTTTTCTGTGTATTCTGGTTGCTGTTTTCTGGTGACTTGTAAGGAACCTTCAGCCTTATTTCCATGTTTTTTCCCCTCTCTCCAGCATCATAAGTCTATTCCTCTTCCAACATCATTTTCTCTCCAACATTTCCAGTGGAAGGGATCTCATTTCCATTGCCAGACAATTAGAATCATCCCAGTAGAATTCTCCCATCTCTCTACTTCTCTTAATTTATAGCCACAGTTGTTATTTATGATGTTAGTTGCAATACAGAAAGAAAGCAAATTTCTCTCACACATAAATAGTTCAATGTATTTGAAGAGATCTATCATAGTACCCCCTTTTAAAACTTGTTCATGTTGCCAATCATGTGTTTCTGTTTTTTCAAAATTAGAGCTTATATTATGCCTCAGACACTATTAGATTCTAGGATCTCAAAGATAAAACATCTGTGAGATACTTATCCAGTGAGGGACAGTCATGTAATCAGATAACTGTATTTCATTGTAAAAGAAGTTTGTGTGAAGTTCATGGCTGACATGATGGAAGGAATAAGCAGCTCTGCCTGAGTGGGGGTTTCAGGAAAAGCTTCACAGAAGAGACACTGGAAGCTGGGTCTTGAAGAGCACATAAAAATCTGCCAGATGGACATCAGCAGTACTGGAATACGAAAGAGGGGAGGAGTGATGGGCCTGTTTAAGTAATTAGAATAACGTGGACAGGAACAGAAGTGTGAAGTCACATGGTGCATTTGAAGACCTGCTAGTTGTTCCTGTGTAGCAGGAGCATATGGAAGAAAAGCAAGAGACAAAGTTGTTCATTAGATGTGAGCTCCATGAGAGCCAGGACCTCACCTGGCCCATTCGTTATTGTATCCACATTGCCTAGTGCATAACAGATGCTTAGTAAATATCCAGTGAATAAATAAATAAAGAGGTAGGTAAGGGCCAGATCTAGAAGTGATTTTTGTCTAAATTCCACAAAGACTGACTTTTTTTGCTCTTTTAGGACTTGTATATCTTCTATAGGTTCTTAAGCATAATTATTAATGGGCATTTGTGTGTTTTTGGGGTAAATATGAACTATTAAATTATTTGATTACCTGCCAGAACTCGTAGTGCCACATTTTGCCAAATTACCAACCTCAAAAAAAAAAATGGAAATAATTTTTATTGAGGTGAACTCTATAATACCCTGTTTAACTTTATAGAAGTTGCCTTGGAGTTTAAATGTTCCATTTTCTCCCTGATTAAAAAAGGAAGAGATAGAAAAGTTAGAGGTTTTTATTTTTTTAGTTTGATGTTTCATATTAGACTACAGTGTGATATATTATAGTTTCTATAAGCAGTAGAAACTATAAAGATAGATATAAACTGTCCAGAATTAAGTACTGAGAGAAAAATATTAAAAGCAAAATTAATAGAACCTTGATATTGTGGGACAATATCAAGCAGTTTAACATACCTGTAACTAGAGTTCCAGAAGGAAAGGAGTTAGGTACAGGCCAGAAAAAAAAAAAAATTTTTAAGACATAAATGATCCCAGGCATGGTGGTTCACACCTGTAATCCCACACTTAGAGATACTGTGGCTGGTATATTGCTTGAGCCCAGGAGTTTGAGACAAGCCTGGGCAACATAGTGAGACTCCGTCTGTACCAAAAAAAAAAAAAAAAATTAGCTTGGTGTACTCTATATCTTTAACATGTTTCTGAAAAATTCTGCCATTAAATGAAAGGTACTGGCCAGGCATAGTGGCTCATGCCTATAATCCTAACACTTTGAGAGGCTGAGGTGGGTGGATCACTTGAGCCCAGGAGACCAGCCTGGACAACATAGCAAGATTCCATCTGTAAAAAAAAATTTGCCAGGTGTGGTAGCATGCACCTATAGACCCAGCTACTTGGGAGACTGAGGCAGGAGGATTGCTTTGAAGGTCAAGGCTGCAGTGAGCTACAATTGTAACACTACACTCCAGCCTAGGTGACAGAGTGAGAGCCTGTCTAAAAAAAAAAAAAAACCCAAACAAAAGTCTGTTGTATTTTTTACACCAGAAACAATTAGAAAATAATGTTTCAGAAAGATGATTTTCCCAGTCGTAGTAAGAATATAAAGTACATTAAGTTTTAATCTACAAAAAATTTTAGTGGAAAAAAATTGTAAATTTTATTGACAGGCATTAAAGAAAACCTAAATAAATGTTATGAACTAGAAGGAAAACAAAAGCCATTATACTAGAAATTTAGTAAAAGAATGTTGTCTAAAAAGTAATGAACGGTTATATAAGCAAAGTCAGAACTTACATAGACCTAGAAATAGGAAAATGAATTTAGATCAAATATTATTTTATGTCTGTCTTCATTTTAATATTTTAATTCTTTTTTTTTTTTTTTTTTTTGAGACAGAGTCTTGCTCTGTCACCCAGTCTGGAGAGCAATGGTGCGATCTTGGCTCACTGCAACCTCCACCTCCCAGGTTCAAGCAGTTCTCCTGCCACAGCCTCCCAAGTAGCTGGGATTACAGGCATGCGCCACCAAACCTGGCTAATTTTTTGTATTTTTAGTGGATATGGGATTTTGCCATATTGGCCAGGCTGATCTCTAACTGACCTCAGATGATCTGCCCACCTCGGCCTCCCAAAGTGCTGGGATTACAGGCATGAGCCACTGCTCTCGGCCCATTTTAATTCTTAAAGCAAACTTAAGTCATATTTCTTGGGAAATTTGTGTCTGTAATGTTTGAAACATTGAATGCTGTTTCTTCACTATTGTAAGGCTTTGACCATTTCCCTAGCTTTTCTGTGCTCCTACATTCTTCTGTTACAGCACTGTCATATTATATTATAATGGTATATGTATCTCTAGTCTGTGAACTCCTTTTACATCAGGAACCATGGGGAGATAACTGTAGCAAAGCCGTTAAAACACAGGACCTGGAGATAAGGCCACCCGGATCCAGTGCTGCCTCTGCCATTTACTGGCGGTGTAATCTTGACAAGTTATATAACTTCTCTCTCTCAGTTCCTTCATTTATAAAATGAGAATAATAAATTATATCTACTTATAGGGGGGTTGTGAGAATTTTAAGTAATAATACATGTTAAGTGAACATAATCATTAAGAAATGTTAATAATTATGGTTCTTAGCTGTTCCATAGCACAAACTCTTCACTGCGTGTGCTCTAAGTTTGATCAATGTGTAATAAACAGATTAGCATTACAGTGGTGTCAGGTGCAACTTAGGACTGAGCAGGTTATGTGATGTGATGTGTGGAGCAGGTACAACTTGTTTTCAGTAAGAGGTAAGAAGTATAACATCAAGACAGCACCAAAGAAAGATGGCCTTTACTGGAGCCAGTGAGCACTTTGCCTCATTAATAAAATACGAATGTAGTTAGATCAGAAAATGTTCTGCTCAAATAGCCACACAGGACTGAATGGCAACCATGTAACTAGTGTGGTGATTATGGAGGTTCCTATGGGCCCTTTGAGAAATTATGCCATCAGAATAAGTGTGCTAACTTGTTTAGTGAGTTTCTGAATATTCTAATCTCTTCAAATTGTGAATGCAAAAAAGTTGAGAACTCCTAATCCTGTATAAAATTGTATCCAATAAATACGTATTGAATGAACCAATTAAAAAAAGAAACTATCAATATTATTTTTCAGTATCTTTCAAGTGTAGCACAATACTGACATAGAACCTATAATTAAATGCTTTTTGTATAAAAAGCATTCTGTTGTTCATGATCTGAATTTGGATTGCTGATTTGGTTATTACTTAGCCAATTATTTACATGTACTAAGGATTACTTAGTGTTTTTTTGTGTGTTTTGTTTTGTTTTTTGAGACAGAGTTTCGCTCTTGTTGCCCAGGCTGGAGTGCAATGGCATGATCTCAGCTCGCCGCAACCTCTGCCTCCTGGGTTCAAGTGATTCTCCTGCCTCAGCCCCCTGAATAGCTGGGATTACAGGCTTGCACCACCACGCCTGGCTAATTTTGTATTTTTAGTAGAGACAGGGTTTCTCCATGTTGGTCAGGCTCGTCTTGAACTCCCAACCTCAGGTGATCCGCCCGCCTTGGCCTCCCAAAGTCCTGGGAGTACAGGCATGAGCCATCGTGCCCAGCCTGGATTACTTAGTTTTTACAGCAACATTAATCTTTCACTTTGTGGATTTTGATATGTTTAAATATACAGTTTGTTAAATGTTTTTGTATTTAATGCATTTGCATTCATCTAATCTACTTATTTTAAATCTAATTGTATCCTGACTTCCTAGCATGAGTGGTTAAACAAAAGGAATATTTTTCAAATAATTATTCATAGTATGTAAATAACCTAAGTACTGTACTTTTAAGTCAAAATATAGTATCTTTGTTATTAAAAACAGTACAGCATAATACAAATTCTGATGTTATTTGAATTTAAACAGAATTGAATTTATGAAGTATTTTTTCTTTAATTATATGGCAGTAATGTCCCAATGCTCAAATTTTTTATCCAGACCATTGATTAATTAGATTTTCTGCCCGTTCTCTTGCGAGAACAAAGCCAGAAGGACAGGGCAAGCTTCCTTTGTGCTTCAGGATAGAGGTAAGAGGTGCCTTTGTCTTTAGTGAAGAAACCCAGGTTCTGTTGCCATAGATCTCCTCTTTGTGAATGAAGTCTTTCTATCAGGGGTTTGACTTGAACCTGAAGGTCTTTTTATATCTCTGCATTTAATTTTTGCTCAGCTCTAGACATCTCCCACTTTTAAAAGGAGCTTTATTGAGATATTTTCCACATACAATAAAATTCACCCACTTGAAGTGTACAAGTCAATGGGTTTTTAATACAGTCATATGTTGCTTAACTCTGGGGATATGTTCTCAGAAATTCAACATTAGGTGATTTCATTGTGTGAACATCATAGTGTGTTCTTACACAAACCTAGATAGTATAGCCTACTACACACCTAGGCTATATGGTATAGCCTATTACTCATAGGCCACAAACCTGTACAGTATGTTACTGTACTGAATACTAGAGGCAGTTGGAACACAACAGTAAGTATTGGTGCATCTAAACATAGAAAAGGTAGAGTAAAGATACAGTATAGCTGGGCATGGTGATGGGCACCTGTAGTCCCAGCTACTCAGGAGGCTATTGGGGGGGAGGATTGGTTGAGCCCAGGAGTTCTAGCCTGTAGTGCGCTATGCCAATCAGGTATCTGCACTAAGTTCAGCATCAATATGGTGACCTTATGGGAGCAGGGGCTACCAGTTTGCCTAAGGAAGGGTGAACCAGCCCACGTTGGAAACTGAAGGTCAGAACTCGTGTTCTTATCACTAGCGGGATCATGCCTGTGAATAGCTGCTGCACTCCAGCTTGGGCAACAAAGTGAGACCCCTTCTCTTAAAAAAACAAAAACTAAAACAGTATAATACATTTGAAAAAAAAAATGGTACACCTAGCCTGGGCAACATGTCAAGGTCCCATCTCTGCAAACAAATTAAAAAATTAGCCAGGTATGATGGTGCATGCTTGTGGTCCTAGCTACTCAGGAGGCTGAGGCAGGAGGATCACTTAAGCCCTCAGTTAACGGAGGTCGAGGCTGCAGTGAGCCATGATCACACCACTGCACTCTATCCTGGGTGACAGAGTGAAACCTTGACTCAAAGAAAATAATAATAATAATAATAATAATGTACACCTGTATAGGGTACTTACCATGAGTGGAACTTATAGGACTGGAAGTTGTTCTGGGTTAGTCAGTGAGTGAGTGGTGAGTGAATATGAAAGCCTAGGACATTACACTACTGCAAACTTTATAAACACTGTACACTTAGGCTATACTAAATGTATTAAAATATGTTTCTTTGATAATAAATTAACCTTAGCTTACTGTAGCTTTTTTACTTTATAAACTTCTAATTTTTTTTTTAACTTTTTAACTCTTTTGTAATAGCACTTAACTTAAAACACAAGGCTGGGGCATGGTGGCTCATGTTTATAATCTCAGCACTTTGGGAGGCCAAGGTGGGAGGATCAGTGAGCTGAGGAGTTCAGGGTTGCAGTGAGCCATGATCAGGCCACCATACTCCTGTCCAGGCTATGTAGCGAGGCCCCAGGATCACTTGAAGCCAGGAGTTCAAGACCAGCCTGGGCAATATAGCAAGACCCTGTCTCTACAAAAAAAAAAAATAGAAATTAGCTGAGCATGGTACTGTGTGCCTGAGGTCCCAGCTATTCAGGAGGCTGAGGTAGGAGGATTGCTTGAGCCCAGGAGTGTGAGGCCGCAGTAAGCTATAATCACACCACTGCACTCCAGCCTGGGTGGCAAAGCAAGATCCCATCTCTTAACACAGACACATACACACACACACACACACACACACACACACACACACACACCCCCATTATACAGCTATACCAAAATCTTCTCCTTCTTTATATCCTTTTTCTATAAGATTTTTCTATCTTTAAAATTGTTTAGGCCAGGTGCAGTGGCTCATGCCTGTAATCCCAACACTTTGGGAGGCTGAGGCAGTAGGATCACTTGAGTTGAGGAGTACAGGATTACAGTGAGCCATGATCAGGCCACTGCACTCCTGCCTGGGTGACATAGTGAGGCCCAGTCTCTAAGACACAAACACACACATTAACCTAGGACTACACATGGTTAGGATCATGGGCATTACTCTCTTCTATCTCCACATCTTGTCCCACTGGAAGGTCTTCAGAGGCAGTAACACACATGGAGCTGTCATCTCCTGTGATAACAGTGCCTTCTAGAATACCTCCTGTAGGAGCTGCCTGAGGCTGTTTTATATTATAATTATTGAGATTGAGCCATGCTCTGTCACCCAGGCTAGAGTGCAGTGGCGCAATCTCGGCTCACTGAAACTTCCACCTCCTGGGTTCAAGCAATTTCCGGCTAGTTTTTCTATTTTTAGTAGAGACGGGGTTTCACCATGTTGGCCAGGCTGGTTTTGAACTCCTGACCTCAAGTGATCCGCCTGCCTTGGCCTCCCAAAGTGCTAGGATTACAGACATGAGCCACTGCACCCAGCTATAGTTAACTTTTTTTTTTAATAAGTAGAAGTACTTTCTAAAATAATGACAAAAAGTATAATAAATACATAAACCAGTAATATTGCCATCTATCATTATCAAGTATGTACTATACATAATTGTGTGTGATGAACTTTTATATGACTGTCAGCACAGTAGGTTTGTTGACACCAGCATTACCACAAACACATGAGTAATGCGTTGCACTATGACGATGTTACAACAGCTACAACATCCCTAGGAGATAGGAATTTTTAAGTTCCATTATAATCTTATGGGACCACCATCATGTATGTGGTTCATTGTTGGCTGAAATTTTATGCAGCACATGACTATATTTACAGAATACTTCAGCTATCAGCACAGTTAATGTTTTAATATTTCTATCACCCCAAAAGAAACTCCATATCCATTTGAGTCATTCCTTATTCCTCCTCACTCTCCCAACCTGCCCTGCTAGACCAAAGTAACCACTAACCTATTTTCTATCTCTGGGTTTTATTTCATTTTATTGCCAAATAATATTCCATTACATGGATAAACTATGTTTTGTTTATTCATTCATCAGTGGGACATTTGGGTTGTTTCCACTTTTTTTTTTTTTGAGACTGAGTTTCCCTCTTGTTGCCCAGGCCGGAGTGCAATGGTGCGATCTCGGCTCACTGCAACCTCCACCTCCTGGGTTCAAGCCATTCTCCTGCATCAGCCTCCCAAGTAGCTGGGATTACAGGCATGTGTCACCACACCCGGCTAATTTTGTATCTTTAGTAGGGATGGGGTTTCTCCATGTTGGTCAGGCTGGTCTCGAACTCCTGACCTCAGGTGATCTGCCTGCCTCGGCCTCCCAAGGTGCTGGGATTACAGGTGTGACCTACTGCGCCCGGCCTGTTTGCACTTTTTGACTATTATAAATAATGCTGCTGTGAACATTCATGTACAAGTTTTGTGTCATCGTTTTCAGCTTTTGATGTAAGGGGATGTTTGTATATTATGCCATAAGATATGCATCAGAACACCCTAGATAAAGTTTTAACTTAATGTGAGAATAACATATCATGCAATGGTCCAAATACATTTTACTAAACTGATAGGTCACTCAACCATTCATTAGTCTCTCCTATGTCTTTTTGAGTTATTTAGAAACTGTGACTTAGTAAGCAAAAACACAGCCCTTTTTGTTTTCATCAGTCTGAATATTGGATTTCATTTCAAGGGACTCTAAAGTTTGATATTTTATATCTTGAGCTAGGATGGAAAAGAATGATGTATTGTGAATTCATTTACAGTTGGTTGGCTATCTTGGGGCATGAAAAGCTGAATGACAGCAATTGGTCATACCTCTGTTATGTTGTTTTTATTTTGTTTGTTGGTTTATTTATTTATTGAGATGGAGTCTCGCTCTGTCGCCCAGGCTGGAGTGCAATGGCGTGATCTCTGCTCATTCCAACCTCCGCCACGTGCGCTCAAGCAATTCTCCTGCCTCAGCCTCCTGAGTAGCTGGGATTACAGGCACCCGCCACCAGGCCTGGCTAATTTTTTGTATTTTTGGTAGAGACGGGGTTTCATCATGTTGGCCAGGCTGGTCTCAAACTCCTGACCTCAAGTGATTCACCTGCCTCGGCCTCCCAAAGCACGGGGATTAACAGGTGTGAGCCACTGCACCCGGCCTGTTGTTGTTTTTAAATCTCAGTCATAGATTTTTGTTTCGTTTTTGCTTAGAGTGTAACTTTGCGAGAAAGAATCTATACACTTAAAATGCTGAATAGATTTCTGGCATACAGAAATTAATTTTTATATTCACATTAACCTCAAAGACACATCATTGATTGTACAGATGAAGTGAATGTACCCAGCAGCTGAAGCTGAACTTGAGCAATAATGGTTCAAAGAATGTGATTAATGGTAGGAATCTTTAGGTGTATTATTCATATTGTCTTTTGGCCATTGACTCAATTCTGGATTTTGGGATTTATTAGAAATAGGATCCCTTAATCAAATCAAAGCTAGATTAGTGGGGACTTAATTAATAAGTACTCTTTATTAAAATAATTTTTTTTTTTTTTTGCGACAGATTCTTGCTCTGTCGCCCAGGCTGGAGTGCAGTGGTGCGATTTTGGCTCACTGCAAACTCTGCCTCCTGGGTTCAAGTGATTCTCGTGCGTTAGCCTCCCGAGTAGCTGGGATTACAGGTGTATGCCACCACACCTAGCTAATTTTTGTATTTTTTTAGTAGAGACGGGGTTTCGCCATATTGGCCAGGCTGGTCTCAAATTCCTGGCCTCAAGTGATCCACCCACCTCAACCTCCCAAAGTGCTGGGATTACAGGTGTGAGCCACCACACCCAGGCTAGCTTTTGTAGTTCTTCTACCTTCAAAAAAAATAGAGAGGCTGGACATAGTGCCTCATGCCTATAATCCTAACACTTTGGGAGGCCATGGTGGGAGGATCACTTGAGGCCAGGAGTTCAGGACCAGCCTGGCCAACATAGTGAGACCCCATCTCTACAAAAAAAAACAACTTAAAAATTAGCTGAGCATGATGGCATGCACCTGTAGGCCCGGCTACTCAGGAGGCTGAGGTGAGAGGACCACTTGAGCCCAGGATTTTGAGGAGCTATGATCACGCCACTACACTCCAGCCTGGGCAACAGAATGAGACCCTGTCTCAAAAAATAATAATAATACAGTAATATATTTATAAAGGCTCATTCAAGCACATCCCTCTCTTTCTAAAGCTTTTCCTGTCCATCCAAACCAAGTCTTCTGCAGAATTAATTATCTCCATTCTATCCTCATAAATGTGTTCTATACTCATATAGGATTCATTACATTGTTTGATAATAATTTATTGCCCAGGCTGTCTTCTTCCAAGATTCTCAAGGTTAAGGACTGTATTGTAGCCTTAACACTGAGTACAATAGATAGCAATAGAGGGCTATAGTTTTGGTAAAAATTCTAATTCTTTGGGCCGGGCATGGTGACTCATGCCTGTAATCCCAACACTTTGGAAGGCCTAGGCAGGCGGATCATTTGAGGTCAGGAGTTCGAGACCAGCCTCGCCAACATGGTGAAACCCCATCTCTACTAAAAATACAAAATTAGCTGTGCGTGGTGGCACATGCCTGTAGTCCCAGCTACTCGGGAGGCTGCGGCAGAATCGCTTGAACCCGGGAGGTGGAGGTTGCAGTGAACCAAGATCAGGCCACTGCACTCCAGCCTGGGTGACAGAGTGAGACTCCATCTCAAAAAAAAAAAAAAGAAAAAAAAGAAAAAAAAATCTAATTCTTCGGCTAAATGTTCTCATTTTTCCTTCTGTAGGCCATATTTTCTAAAAGACACCCCCCTTGTGGTTTAATTGTGAGAAGTATGCTTTATGATTATAATTTTGATAAAATAAAAGCCTGCCTCCTCTGTTAGTAATGAATTAGAGCTGCAGGGAACTGGAAACAAAATGAAAGAGCCTGGATAATATAGGCTAATGGTTTTCAGACTTTAGCATGAGTTAGAATCACCTGTAGGGCTGGCTAAACCATGGATCCTGTGCTCAAGCTCTTGAGTTTCTGATTCAGTAGATTTGGTATGGAGCCTAACAAGTTCTGAAGTGATGCTTATGTAGTTGGTCAAGTACCACACTCTGAGAACCACTAACATTATAAATTCTAACTAACCTACCTGAAAGACATCCAGTTTACTGAAATAGGTTCTGTTCCTGATATCCGCACCTGGCCCTCTCTTGAAGATCTTGTGGGGGAAAGTACTCCATATTTGCAAAGCTCTCTACCTGCATAGTGTCTACACCGAGGACAAACTCTTGGTGAGCAAACTTAAGCGCTCAAAGGAGGGAGGAGGAATTTTTTTTTTTTTTTTTTTTTGAGACGGAGCCTCAATCTGTCACCCAGGCTGGAGTGCAGTGGCATGATCTCGGCTCACTGCAAGCTCCGCCTCCCGGGTTCACGCCATTCTCCTGCCTCAGCCTCCCAAGTAGCTGGGACTACAGGCGCCTGCCACCATGCCCAGCTAATTTTTTTTTTTGTATTTTTAGTAGAGATGGGGTTTCACCGTGGTCTCGATCTCCTGACCTCGTGATCCACTCGCCTCGGCCTCCCAAAGTACTGGGATTACAGGCGTGAGCCACCGCGCCCAGCCTAGGGAGGAGGAATTTTTTAAGGAAGAATGGTAGATCTCTTTTGGTGTCTCATTATTTGCAATTGTAAGAGCACATAATGGGCACACAGTAAAATGTCTACTAACTGATTAAACTAGTTTAGAACTCTAACCTTCTGATTTTGAGGCCAGTGGTCTAACATATAAAAATGCTGCTTTTCACTTTCACTTTGGCATTGGTATGAATGCAATTAAAATTAATGAAGTGAAAAAAATACATTTTAAATTTAATTATTAAGAATCATAGGCCTGGCTGGGCACAGTGGCTTATGCCTGTAATATCGGTACTTTGGGAGGCTGAGGCGGGAGAATCACTTGAGCCAAGGAGTTCAAGACCAGCCTGAGCAACGTAGTGAGACCCTGTCTACAAAAAATAGAAAAATTACCTGAGCATGGTGGTACGCACTTGTAATCCCAGCTACTGGAGAGACTGAGAGGTGGGAGGATCACTTGAGCCAGGAGGTAGAAGCTACAGTGAGCTGTGATCATGCCACTGCACTCTAGCCTGGGTGATGGAGCAAGACTCTGTCTCAAAAAAAAAAAAAAAAAAAAAGAAAAAAGAAAAGAAAAGGAAAGAATGGAAGGCCATTTGCAGTGGCTCACACCTGTAATCCCAGCATTTTGGAAGGACAGAGTGAGAGGATCACTTATTAAGGTCAGGAGTTCAAGACCAGCTCTGGCAATGTAGCGAGACCTCATCTACAAAAAAATTTTTAAGAAGAAAAAAAGCCGGTCCAGGCATGGTGGCCAGCTACTCAGGGGGCTAAGGTGGGAGGACTGTTTGAGCCTAGGAGGTTGAGGCTGCAGCGAGCCATGATCACACCAGTGCCCTCCAGCCTGGGTGATAGCAAGACCCTGTCAAAAAAAAAAAAAAAATTCTAGTACATGCTTATGCTTATACTAGAATCTAATTAACCAGATTTTCCCCCGTCTATTGTGTTTTGCCACATTATGTATAATTTATTTTAAGATCCTAAATTATGGTCTGTATTATCATTGAAATAGTATTCTTTCATTTAATACACATTTACTATATGTTAACCATAAGCAGGTTAAGCTGTAGAGTTTCAGTGATACAGACTATTATACTCAATATAATTTTCTGGCTGAGGATCCTTTTGTGTTCTAATTATTTTAAACTAGTAGTTCATGAATTTTTTAAATAAGATTATTCAGAAACATCAATATCAAATATTCTGAAAAAACAGAAAGTTTACTAGCGGTTATTTCTAATCACAGGGAAAATAACCACTACCATATGACTTCCTAAGTAGACACATCAAGTTCTTACCTGATTGTGATGTGGTTTTGAAACAAATTCATAAGCAAATGAAGACAGAAATTGTTGTACCTTTGTACTGCTACATGATTTTAGAGGAAAAAGTTTTTTAAAATTAAGGCTGACTAGATGGCTACTGTATATTGTGCTTTTTATTTATTTGTTTATTTTTTTGAGACAAGGTCTCACTCTGTCACCCAGGTTAGAGTGCTGTGGCGCAATCTCGGCTCACTGCAACTTCTGCCTCCCAGGCTCAAGCAGTCCTCCCACCCCAGCCTTCTGAGTTGCTGGGACCACAGGTGCATGCCACCATGCCCAGCTAATTCTTTGTATTTTTTGTGGAGAGGGGGTTTTGCTGTGTTGCCCAGGCTGTTCTGAAACTCCTGAGCTCTAGCGGTCTGCCCGCCTAGGCCTCCCAAAGTGCTGGGATTACAGGTGTGAGCTACTGCGCCTGACCTTTTGTGCATTTTTTCCAAGTCCATTAGGGAAATTATCTTTAAAAGTATTTTCACATTGATGAATTTATTGTTCAGTCAGGTTGAGAAAATAAGCCATATTTATTGAAACCACAATGCAAACAATTAAAAATCAAATTATCAGTTAAATTATCAGCTAAGTAATGTAGATGCTGATTTGTCCAAATCAGCCAAGTAATGTAGATGCTGATTTGGACAAATCAGCATCTGTGAAGTAAAAGAATGATCGCAGTAAAATTGGATTAGCGAGGTCATCATTTACATATACAGTTGTTGATAGTGTGAGGGCAAAGTATTAATAGTAGAAATTTAGTTAGACTAGTGGAATTTTAACTTAAGCTATTCCTTTTTGTGACTTGTTAGCTATCAAACTGGCCTGGACCTGAAAGTTAGTCTTGCTACCTATCTCAAAAGCTTCTTTTGAGAAGATTCAGTAAGTAACCAAGGACTCTTTCTCTCCACTTGCCAGCAAATTTTGTAGAAGCAACATGTTAAGCCGGGCAGTTTCCCTCATAGTTGTTTTATGGGCAAAGTGAAAATTGTATTCTTAGATTCATCAGTATGATTTCTTAAATATTTAAGAGAGAGAAAGCTTGGAAGGTAGTAGCTCCTTATTATTAGGCTTAACCTGAGTTTGATTTGGTAGATTTTAAAAAATATGTAATCTGTGTTTGATTCTTGGTTGTATGTAATTTGTTCCTCATCTAAAGAATTTAACGATGGAAATAAACATTCGTGACATGAAAAGTTACCCTTCTCTCTCTCTCTCTCTCTTTTTTTTTTTTTAGACGGAGTCTCACTCTGTCGCCCAGGCTGGAGTGCAGTGACGCGATCTCAGCTCACTGCAAGTTTCATCTCCCGGGTTCACGCTATTCTCCTGCCTCAGCCTCCCAAGTAGCTGGCACTACAGGTGCCCGCCACCACGCCCGGCTAATTTTTTTTGTATTTTTAGTAGAGACGGGGATTCACCATGTTAGCCAGGATGGTCTCGATCTCCTGACCTCGTGATCTGCCTGCCTCGGCCTCCCAAAGTGCTGGGATTACAGGCATGAGCCACCGCACTCAGCCAAAAAGTTACCCGCTTCTAAAGCTTTTTCTGTCCATCTATTTCCAGGCCAATTAATCATCCCTGTCTCTGCTCCCTGGCCTACTCTTCCCTGAGTACTCATTCATGTTGCTTCTAACTTATGAATGATATTATGATATGTAGTGATAATGAGGAAAAAGCTATATTTCCAGGGAAGCATTTGGTGAGGTTTTCTTTTTATTATAGAAAATTTTTAAGCTAACTAAAGTACAGAGAATGTTACAATGAACCCTGTGTACCCATCCCCAGCTTCAAAAATGATCAACTTTCTGCTATTCTTGTTTTATCTGTACCCCCTTTATCACACTTTTTGTTATGTTGTTTACTATAATATTTTAAGGCAAATCCTAGATGTCATACCATTTCATTCATAAATACGTTCATACATATCTCTAACCAGAAGATCCCCCCTTTTTTGAAACACTACCATTATTAACATATCAAACAGAATAAAATAATAATTATTTAATAACATCTAATAGTCCATGTCCAGTTCGGCTCAAAATTGTTTTTTTACAATAGGTTTGTTTGAATCAGGATCCAAACAAGGTCTGTACATTGCATTTAGTTGACATGAATCTTAAGTCTCTTTTAATTTCTCTGTAACTGCACCCCCTAGTTCCTCTGGATTTTTTCCCCATTAATTAATGAAGAAGATGGGTTGTTTGTCTGATAGGATTCCCCACATTTTCTCACTCTGTCACCCAGGCTGGAGTGCACAGGTGTGATCTTCACTCACAGTAGCCTTGACATCCTGGGCTCAAGTGATCCTCCCACCTCAGCCTCCCAAGTAGCTGGGACCACAGGCACATGCCACCACGCCTGGCTAATTTTTGTATTTTTTGTGGAGATGGGATTTCTCCATGTTGCCTGGGCTGCGCTCAAGCGATCCACCCACCTTGGCTTCCCAAGTTGGTGGGATTACAGGCGTGAGCCACCACACCCGGCCCCCACATTTTAAGTTTGGATAATTTTATCCTAGTGATGTCATTTAACATGTTCTTCTTTCCCGCCAAATTTCCTGTAAGCTGATAGAGCTAGATAATGGATTGGGTTTGGATTCAGTCTTTTTGGCAAGAATGCTTCATAATGGTACTGTGTGCTCCCTGTTCCTTCACATCAAGACTGACATGACATCTGTCTGTTCCAGTTTGAGTGAAGATCAGTGGCTTTGGGTGGTATCAGTCATATTATTTTCAAAATAATAACGGTAATGATAATAACATTTATTATTCTATTAAATCGGCAACTGTTTGGCTTCCCTGAAATACAGTTCAAAGAAGAATGGCAGAAAAAATGTTAAATTTTTCCTCTTTTCATCTGTCAATTTTCAGAATGAGTTGAAGTGACTGAGGACTTTTTTAAAATATCATAGATGTTTGTATTTGTTGTATTTAGATCTATTACAATCATTATTCTTTTTTTCTTCAAAATGGTCCCATCTTTAGTGGGTGCCCCTTCAAGTTGGCTCCTGTCTTTTGACATGACCCTAGTACATCTTTTTTCTTTTTTATTTATTTTTTCTTCTTTTTAAAAATTTTTTCTTATTTTTTGTTAGACTGAAACATGGAAGACCCTAGTAACCTTGATAACCTTCTTGCTTTCAGGCATGTCAGGATATCCCTGGTTCACTTACTTCTCCAGATTTGGAATCTTATCCATTTCTCCAAGGAACCCTGGTTTCTTTTAGTAGAAATCTAGGCACTAATAGTACTCATTGTTAAGAGACTGTCATTGTCTCTAGGCCTGTTCTATGAACAGGGTAGGTAAATATGGTTTTAGTGAAAAGACAAAAAGGAATTGTATTCTTACCAATAATGCAGCCAGTTCAAATTTAAAATATTTGGGGATTGGGGGTTTTTATGTAATATATTTGATTTTATAATGATTTCTTTTTTTTTTTTTTTTTTTTTTTGAGATGGAGTCTTGCTCTGTCACCCAGGCTGGAGTGCAGTGGCTTAATCTCAGCTCACTGCAAGCTCCACTTCCTGGGTTCACGCCATTCTCCTGCCTCAGCCTCCCGGTTAGCTGGGACTACAGGCTCCGCCACCACATCTGGCTAATTTTTTGTATTTTTAGTAGAGACGGGGTTTCACCATGTTAGCCCGGATGGTCTCAATCTCCTGACCTCGTGATCTGCCTGCCTCGGCCTCCGAAAGTGCTGGGATTACAGGCATGAGCCACCGCGCCCAGCCAGTGATTTCTTTTTTAATGCTGAAAATCTTGGTTCCTAATAACTAACATAATTATTTTATTTAACCTACAATAAAAGTTACTTCAAAATAACTAACTACATATAACAACAAGACCCCTGGATGCAGCTTAAGGTTTCTTTCTATTTCATTTATTTATTTATTTTTGAGACAGGGTCTCACTCTATTGCTCAGGCTGGAGTGTAGTGACACGATCATCCCTCTCCCTATTGATGGATATTTGAGTTGTTTCTCATCTTCAGTTATTACAAATAGTACTGAACTGAATAGGCATGTGAGTAACTCTAAAGTGGAATTTCTGGGTTAAAGGGTAAAATGCATATGTAATTTTACTTAAACAAAAATATTTGATGCTCAGTGTTTAATTAAGAACTGAGGCCGGGCACAGTGGCTCATGCTTGTAATCACAGCACTTTGGGAAGCCGAGGTGGCTGGATCACTTGAGATCAGGAGTTCGAGACCATCCTGGCCAACATGATGAAACCCCATCTCTACGAAAAAACACAAAAAATTAGCCAGGCATGGTGGCTCACACCTGTAATCCCAGCTACTTGGGAAGGCTGAGGCGGGAGAATCGCTTGAACCCAGGAGGCGGAGGCTGCAGTGAGCCAAGATGGTGCCACTGCACTCCAGCCTGGGTGACAGAGTGAGACTCTGTCTCAAAAAAACAAACAAACAAACAAACAAAAAACTGAAAAGGAAATAGAGTTCCTCTTTCCTCATATATGAATATATTATTTCAACAGATTGTTGATCACCTACCATATGCTTGGTATTGTTCTAATTGCTGGGGATACAGCAAGAGGTTCTGCAGAACTTCATGGAGCATGAAAGTAAATAAACAAAGTTAATTTCAAGGCCAGGCATGGTTGCTCACACCTTTAATCCCAGCACTTTGGGAGGCTGAGGCAGGTGGATCACTTGAGCCCAGGAGTTCAAGGCTGCAGTGAGCCAAGATTGTGCCACTACTCTCCAGGCTGGGCAACAGAGCAAGACCCTGTCTCAGGGGGAACAAAAAGTTAATTTCAGATTTTGTTAAGTGCTGTAAAGGAAGTAAATAGGTTGATATTCAAGAAAGCACCTGAAGGCCAGGCGTGGTGGCTCACGCCTGTAATCTAGCACTTTGGGAGGCCGAGGCAGGCGGATCACAAGGTCAGGAGATTTTTGGCCAGGCATGGTGGTTCATGCCTGTAATCCCAGTACTTTGGGAGGCCAAGGCTGTTGCATCACTGGAGGCCAGGAGTTCAAGACCAGCCTGGCCAACATGGTGAAACCCCATCTCTCCTGAAAATACAAATATTAGCCGGGCGTTATGGCACATGCCTTTAGTCTGAGCTACTCCGAAGTCTGAGACACAAGAATCACTTGAATGGGAGGTAGAGGTTGCAGTGAGCCAAGATTGCACCACTGTACTCCAGCCTGGGTGACGGGGTGAGACTCCATCTCAAAAAAGAAAAAAAAGTAAAAAAGAAGAAAGAATTTCATACATTATCTTATTTAATCTCATAAGAGTCTGCAAAGTCTATTTTATAATTCCCATTTTACAGAAAAAACCAATGTTCAGAAAAGTAAATTACTTGTTTGTGGTCTTAAAGTTTGGAAATGGGGGCTGGGGTTTGAATATGTCTAATTCCAATGCCAGATAAGATAAAAACCTTTTTCAGTGTATTGCATTGCCTCTCTTAACCAAAAAGAAAGCAAAAAATAATGAGTTAGCAGAGTAAATGGTTTTGATTCTCATTTTAACCTGACAGAAATACATATTTTTTTTTCTTTTAAAGTACTGCTCTTGTTTATCACTGGATTATTACACATTCAAAATATATATGCTTGCTTTATTTTGGGGATATTTGTTGTACAAGAAAATAGAGGAATATGCCTTTTTGTCCAAGCTAAATAAAACAACTTCATTATCCATTTTTATTGTTTTTTTATTTAATGATGGTTCTACTTTTAAAATACCACAGCAAAAATATCTTACAGGTATTTCTAGCCTTTTCAAATTATGTGCCTTCTAAGTGTCCTATTTATTTATTTCACAAATATTTGTTAACATCTGTGTGCACGTTACTTTACAAGTGTCGGTTGAATTAACTTTTGTAAATGTAATAGCAAAAACATTGTACAGGGTTCTGTAAATAGCCATAAAGTTAATCTTAGGGGAAAATTTTTTTCTTGTGCCAGCACTTACTGAGCACTTAACTGTATTATCTTTAAGGCTCACAATAACTCAGTAAGGTAGATACCAATCCCCACTTAACAGAGGAAGGAACTGAGGCATGGAGAGCCTACATAATTCATCTGAGATCACTAATACGTGATGGATTTACACCTAAGGTAGATTTAAATCCCTTACGATCATAGGTTTTCTGTCATAAGTATTAAAAGTTTCTATTAAACAACAAAATAGTTTATAGGGAAATATTATATTTGTCCTCACTAGTATTTTAAATTAAATCCATAATGTCCAATGAACCATACACAAAAATTCATAGAGATTTTTTGTATGTGCTTTAAACTAGAACTAGCTGCAGTTAAAACCCAGATTGTAATTTTACAAACAAGGCCACCCCTAACAATATTAAAATAAAATGATATTATTCCCTGGCTTAAAGAAAAATTCTCCAATAACCATGGGAATGCTTGTGGTATGAAGACAGCATCTTAAATCTCGATGCAAGTCATACACAAAGTGTTATTGCGATGAAAAAATAGTGGCGTGAATAATACCCGCTCACAGCCCAAGACATTTGATGTATCTTGGGCCTCAGTGTTTGTTGGATTTTATAATTTCATGAGGAAGATTTGTATTTTTTTAAAAAGTTCTATATTTCTGTGTGTTCCACTTGATGTCAAATCTGTATTCTTAGGTTGTAGGGTTCCATTAAAAAAAATAAATAATCTCAGCCCCTCCTCCCTCCACCCCCGTTTCCCCCCACACTCATTTTGTATAATATGGTAATGATATCACCGTAGCAGTAATTACGGGTCATCTTCATTTCTTTCATCTCTGCCTGTTCTGGTGGCTTCATTCCTTTGACGGGAAAGATTTGGCTCTGGGTGCTATGATTATTTTGTTAAGCGTTATTCGAATAGACAGGAGTGAGAGAAATTAATCAATCCAAATGCAATTAGCATCATGTTTAACCCAGTGATGGACGTCTCAAGGTGAAACAGCCAGGGGAGTTTCAGACATTATTATTCAATCCAGTGGTTCTTATCTAAATTATAATCAAGAGAGGTTTTTATTGGCTTCTCAGTGTGAAGATGTAACCCTTTCCCTTCCCTGGGGGTCAAGAAGACTAGGCCTTCATCATCCCTAGACGTTAGCTGTTGCCAGCTGCCAGCCCCTTGAAGTCAGATAGACAGGGCAGGAAAGTTGTCTGAATATGCAGGTCATTTGAAATTATCTATACTGTGATCCTGGTCTGATTTTCCTGAGAGTGGAACCTAGCCTATGAATAAGCTACTCTGTCTAACTTGGGGCAAAATATTTTGTGTTCTGATCAAGTCACTTTGACTAGTTGTTGTTCTTCTATCTTAACCTTACATGATAGATTATTATTGCTGTTCTTACTTTATGGATGAGGATATTAAGTCTGTGAAGCTACTAGCCTTTGGTCATAATAAGTGTTTCACCAGGATGTATTACTATGTAAAGGCCCTGAAGCATGAATGTTCTGCACAAATTTATGAGTATTTAATAAAAGTTCTAGCCCCCAGAGTATTAATTCATTGCTCTGATCTCATTGCCTTTCATTCAATTGAGTTGTACCCTTGAAAAGGAAACCAAGTAAAACTATGAAATAGACCTGTCAGGTCCTCAGAAAAGGAAACAAAGTGCAGCTAAGAAGTTGTTAGCTCTCATTTCTCGAACACAGATCTTTGGGGGTTTTTTGCTGTTGTTTTGGTTTGTTTCTAGTAGGAAGAAGGATGATAAGAATACATATTTGAAATCTAGTCTTGTTTTGCTCTTAAAAGAGGGCAGAGCAAGGAGAGTTGATGGAGAAACAGTCTTTCACTTGAATGCAACATTTTTCAAATGCCTGACAATTAAGATTCTTCTACTTCTGCCTTCAATCATCAGGCATCATGGCTGACACTTCCCATATTTTATGTTCCTGCTTGATGTTTTATATTCTGAAAATAAATCTGTTGGTTGGATATTTCTGTCCTTTTTTTTCTGTTATGAAAAGCCATTAAAATTATTTTCCATATTGGAACTGTCCAAATTTGTTTACCTGCACATTGAGTCCTGGCTTTTCTTTTTCATATTACTTCTTGGATAAAACACTGTCTGCAAATGGGTGTTACTATGAATTGAAGAAAAAAAGTTTGATATAAAATTATCTTTCTCAGGCTGGGCATGGTGGCTCATGCCTGTAATCCCAGCACTTTGGGAGACTGAGGCAAGAGGATTGCTTGAGGCCAAGAGTTCAAGACCAGTTCAACATAGCAAGACCCCATATCTACAAAAAATTAAAGTTATAAAGTAAAATAAATAATAAAATTTTCTTTCTCAGCAGTCACTGGAGGGAACATTGTTCTTGGCCACTGCACGCTTTTGGAAGAATCCTGATAAAGAGCCAAGATACCCAATAGAAAGATAATCTAGAAAGTGTGCTCCCAAAAAGATTTTTTTGAGAACACTGAGGACAAAAATTTTGATAGTCTGTGATAGTTTGATCCAGACTGTTCTTTTCTCAGGTATATAGTATTTTAGTCTCCTTTTTGAAATGTTTTATTATGCCTAAATAACTTTTTTTTTTTTTTTTTTTTGAGACAGAGTCTTACCCTGTCACCCAGGCTTGAGTACACTGGTGCGATCTCAGCTCACTGCAACCTCCGCCTCCCAGATTCAAGCAATCCTCCCCCTTCAGCCTCCCAAGTAGCTGGGATTACAAGCATGTGCCACCATGCCTAGCTAATTTTTGTATTTTTACTAGAGATGGGGTTCCACCATGCTGCCCAGGCTGGTCTCAAACTCCTGACCTCAAGTGATCTGGCTGTCTCGACCTCCCAAAGTGCTGGGATTATAGATCTGAGCCACCATGCCTGGCCACCTAAAGAACTTTAGGCAAAAGCCTCAAGGCTGCCGACCTTCAAATGCTACTTTTATATATTTTAGAGAGAAGTAAGATTTACACCAAAGACTGTTGCTAGTGTATACTTCTCCACAAGAGTGGACGGAGAACAATCAGTGGACCTTATTACAGTTACACCACCTGCTGAGGGCCACCAAGTGTCCTAATGGGATGAAGCTCCAAAAGACCCGTCCTCATCCAGTGACACTGTGTGCTCTTCACAGCTCCTTCTGCTCTTGACAGTGACTCCAGCACCAGCTGCTCTCATATCAGAGGCATTAAAAAGTGCTTAGTCCTTGACTTATTGATCACTTAGTGATACTTTTCCTGTGGAGATCTGACACTGAGCTGGAGTGTGGTGAAGAGTCAGTCTGGCAGACTGCCCTGGAACTGCTCTGCTGTACACCAGCTCTGCGCCAGAGCCACAGGGAAACGTTGCACATTCCTGCGAGACAGAAATCAGCATTATAAATCACATTGCTCTCTTTTTGTTCTCTGCCAATCCACCAGAATACCTGTTAACAACAGCTAGCTCCATCTCAAAGGCAGCATTGCCTTTGAGAATAGTCTCTTTCTGTGGGAAAGCATGTCTTTGACTTTATTTGAATCTTCCTAATATCTAGTACATAGTGTGTGCTCCATGTGACTGCCTTCACTCTTCACCACCCCCTCCATGCTTCTTTTCTGCACAGCACACACTGATAACTGATCAGCAGGTCCCTTTTGTCATAGCTGTTAGAATACATTCAAGATAGAATACATTCAAGATTTCAGGGACCAAAAAAGTAATTTTAAAAGAAGAGTCAAAACTATAACTATAACAAATGGCATCATTTCTGTAAAAACATCTTTTATGAGGCCAATTAAATAAACAGCCTTTAGCACATTGATTTAAACTAAACTGGGGTTTTTTTCTTTCTTTCTTTTTTTTTTTTTTGAGATGGAGCCTTGCTCTGTCGTCCAGGCCGGAGTGCAGTGGTGCAATCTCGACTCACTGCAAGCTCCGCCTCCCGGGTTCACGCCATTCTCCTGCCTCAGCCTCCCCAGTAGCTGGGACTACAGGCACCCACCACCACGCCTGGCTAATTTTTTTTGTATTTTTAGTAGAGATGGAGTTTCACCGTGTTAGCCAGGATGGTCACGATCTCCTGACCTCGTGATCTGCCCACCTCGGCCTTCCAAAGTGCTGGGATTACAGGCGTGAGCCACCGCGCCCGGCCACTAAACTGGGATTTTATGTGTTCCTTTTGGCTAGAAGTATCTACTGGTATAGTTAAAGAAGGTAGCTCCACCTAGTACCCGACATTACTCCAGCCAGGCTTAATACACCACAGTATGCCTTCATTCACACAGATGCAAGTCATTTGTGTTACCATTTATCTTGCATTGGAAGATCTTTTTAGAAATAAATAGGTCTTTTGTCACTCCTGGTGCTATGTATGTGCTTACTTGGTGTAGATC
Source organism: Homo sapiens (assembly GCF_000001405.40). NCBI lineage: Eukaryota > Metazoa > Chordata > Mammalia > Primates > Hominidae > Homo > Homo sapiens. Next base: position 74,192,176 of record NC_000014.9, read on the forward strand.
TGGTACCTCCTGTAAAGCAGCAGCTAAGGAGACTCCACGGCTTACCATGACTGACAAGAAGGCCAAGGAAGGAAGCAAGACTGAGAACAGTGGTTGTTTTTTGTTTTTGTTTTTGTTTTTTGTTTTTTGAGACAGAGTCTCACTCCGTTGACCAGGCTGGATTACAGTCGCATGATCTCGGCTCACTGCAACCTCTGCCTCCTGGGTTCAAGCGATTCTCCTGCCTCAGCCTCCCGAGTAGCTGGGACTACAGGCACATGCCCCCACGCCCAGCTAATTTTTGTATTTTTAGTAGAGATGAGGTTTCACCATGTTGGCCAGGCTGGTCTCGAACTCCTGACCCCTCAGGTAGTCCGCCTGCCTTGGCCTCCCAAAGTGCTGGGATTACAGGCATGAGCCACCATGCCCAGCCAACAGTGGTCATATTAATTTGAAGGTGGAGGGGTAGGATAGTTCAGTGGTGCAGTCTAAGATTAAGAGGCATACACCACTTGGTAGACTAATGAAAGCTCGTTGTGAACAACAGTATATCAATGAGGCAGATCAGATTCCAATTTGATGGGCAGCCAATTAATGAGACAGACACACCTGCACAGTTGGAAATGAGGATACAATTGATATGTTCCAGCAGCAGACAGGAGGTGTCTACTACAAAGGGAACCTGCTCTTTACTGCAGAACTCCATTCCCACAGACCAGGAATACATTCTCAGAAAACTACAACTCCGTTGAATTCCATCCTGACTACAAAAGTGTAGGGTTTTTTTTGTCCTTTCGTGTACCCCTTTCTCATTCCTTTACTGTGCATAAAGTGACTGGCATTTGTGCACAAGCATATTACCTTTTTATTTTTAAACTAAATGGCCAATGATATGTTTTGATCAACATCAGATGGAGATAAGATGGGGATAAATACTGATTCTGTGGCAATGCCCCCTTTCTCCATTAGTGGCATGCTCATTCAGCTCTTATCTTTATACTTCATTAAGTTATTTTGCCTCATCATTTAATAAAAATCAATAACAAAAAATCCTTCCATGCTTGAAGCTAGTAGTTCAAGATCCTGTCTCCACAAAAAAAAAAAAAAGAAAAAAATTAGCCAGGTATTGCATGCCTGTAGTCACAACTACTTAGGAGGCTGAGGCAGGAGGATCACTTGAGTCCAGGAGGTTGAGGCTGCAGTGAGCTATGGCTGCACCACTGCACTCCAGCCTGGGTGACAGAACGAGACCTTGTCTCTTATAAAAAAAAAAAAAATCCTTCCATACCTTGTTAAATTTGAGAATTTTGGTGTTTTTCACGTGTCATTCTAAAACCAACCAGTTTTTAAACTCTTGTACATAGCTGTTACATGTAGGGCAATATGTCTTTAAGTAGGGATAAGTTACTCTAAAAGAAATGAATCTTAGATAGTTTTCCCACCAGGCATCCTATTGCTTAAGTAAACTTTCTGTTTGAAATGAAACAAATAGTTTTACAGTAGCTAGCATTTATTGAATGCCTGTGTGACTTTGTATTAATCCTACCTTGAATGAATGAGGAAAGGAGCTCAGAAAAATAACTTGGTAATTTGCCTATGTGGCCCAGGGTCAATGTAAGAGCTGAAGTCCTGCTCTTTTCACAATATTACATTGTCTCCTTTGTTTCCTGGCCACTCATATTACAATCTCCTAAAAGCAACCTGTTATTGCTCTTCTGAATATGAGAAACCCAGTGGAAAGTAATTTGTCCCCGCTTCACAAACATTTTTAATTATGTTGAGGCATAGAAATATTTAAAGTAGTTTGCATTGGAATTGAAAAACTGAACTATGAGTTTCTTCCACTTCATTAAAAAGTTTCTTAAAATTTACATTGTTCCCTACATAAAAGCTGAGCAGAATTTTATCAGGCAATTGCCTCAAAGTTATAATCTGGACAATCTTTCTGTAATAAAACCCATATGTCATTGGGGAAAGGTGCAGAGCCCTGGCAGAGAGGGCTGGTCTTGAGAGAGGTTCTGCACCCAATCTCGTTAACCAGGGTGCCTCTGGTAATCCCTCATCCCTCACCAGTGAGAAATCAATCTGTACCACTGAATCTTTTTCAACCAGCCACCAGAAAAATTTACTGCAGAGAAGGCAGTTTGGGGATAGTTATCGTGGAAAGTGAGCCAGAAGCAAGGCTAAATGTAGGATGGAGGAATTGGAGAGTCTAAAGAAGAGATTATATTAAACCACACACCACTTTCAGAGCAGGCACAGTGGAGTCCTCCTTTCAGCCCTGACCTCTCCAAGTATACCCAGGTATTTACAGCTGCCATGAACTGGATAGCCCTGGAGGAACTACGAAAGTGGTGGGGGATAACAGAAACAGTGGAAACCTGAAAGTTGATTGTAGTCTATCCATTTGCTGTCTCTCAGTGTGTAGTAGCCAGTCCCCTCTCCACACTCTGCAGCATTTCACATGTTAACCCTATAGTGACAGTTTCAATTGTGGCTTTCTCAATTTGTGATCTATGTACGACATAATAGGGCCTGTAAATCATGACTTGACATAGGGGTCATGCTTCTCTCCTGCACGGCATACACCAGTAGCTGATGACCAGTGGGCCCCTCTTGGCATAGTTATTAGAATGGAAGCGGTGTTGCCTTCCTGTGAAACCTTGTAATCTTAGAGAATAAATCCAGAATCAAAAAAATAGTTGACAGGCTGGGCGAGGTGGCTCATGCCTATAATCCTAGCACTTTGGGAGGCCAAGGCGGGCAGATCAACTGAGGTCAGGAGTCCGAGACCAGCCTGGCCAACATGGTGAAAACCTGTCTGTACCAAAAATACAAAGAATTAGCCAAGTGTGGTGGTGCATGCTTGTAATCCCAGCTACTTGAGAGACTGTGGCAGGAGAATCACTTGAACCGGGGAGGCAGAGGTTGCAGTGAGCTGAGATTGCAACATTGCACTCCAACCTGGGCAACAAGAGCGAGACTCTGTTTCAAAAAAAAAGAAAATAGTTGACAGATTTCACTGACTCTATATAACACTCTCTCTCTCCCAATCTTGTTGTGTCTAGAATTGTTTTCTATATAATATAATACATTATGGGGAACAAAGAAAAAGGAGAAAATGGAGGAACTGGGAGTGCCAAGCTGAAGAACATGTAGTCTTACTCTGGCCATTCATCCTAGAATTATACCAAGCTACAACCATTGTGAAGAAGAAGGGACAGAACCAGGCAGTGGGGAATAGAAATGGCTTTCTCTTCTCTGTAAGCAGGCAGTAGTCATCTCTAAAGATTTTTCCCCAAAGAGATTTGAAATTCCTGATGGGAGCTTAAAAAGCTAAGAGTAAAATACATTTATTTATAAGACCCTACTAGAAGAGGTGTGTGTGGGTGTGTGTGTGTATGTGTGTGTGTGTGTGTGTGCGCGTGTAGACGAGGAATACAGAATAGTAGCAGAAGGCTGTCTCCCTACTCCTAATGGGATTTTGTAGCAGTATGTGCAAGTTTGTTTCAGAAGTCAAAAATGAACAGATGTTAGTATAAATTACCTCTGTGTCTGATGTCTTGCAAATTAAAAGCGCAGTTGGCATCACTAAACAATTTCACTAGGTTTGGGGGGGTTCGGTTAGCGGGCGGTGATTACTGTAGCAGGTCGGTAAGAATCTTCGCCCTGCAGCAGAGCAAGGATAAAGAAATGAGGAATAAAATAAGGGCTATATGAATTAATCAGAAATGTTAACATCTCTGATGACAAGTGAACAGGAGGGCACGTGCTCTGGAGCAGCCCCTGACCCACAGCAATTTCTCTGTGCACAAAAAGGGGTTGGTGCTTAGCATCTGATTTATAGGGCACAGCCCTCTTTTAGGGAGCGGCTGTGTCATACATTCGTATATCTCCTGTATGGGACTGGCGAGTAGGAAAACTTTCTCTCCTCCCATGTAGGAGATGATGTCTTTTGAATTACTTCTACTTTTACAGTGGTTTCCTGCAGCTCTGTGTACTTGGATTAGGTTGAAGGGGGAGGAATGATTGAGTAGAAAAAGGGTTGTTAAAAAGGATTGGTTAAATTCAAGGAGAGCTTGCCACTGAGAGACTTCAGAATATCTATTTATTTTTCCTTTTAAACCCTTTTGACCCCTTAAATTGTGTGGATCTTTTAAAATTCTAAGTCTTAAAATATTGGTCATTTTCCCATTTGGGGAAAAACAGTAAGGAGTTGGTGAGTCTGAAGGTCAGCAGGCAGAAATCATTGGTTAGAGCAATGCAGTGCTCCAGGCCCAGGATTTTTGGAACAAGGCTCTATTCTCTCCAGAAGACTTTTGTATTGACCGTGTCTGGTTTCCAGAGCTCCTGCTTCTAGCCATGTTGCAGGATCATTAGTTACATGTTTAAACTTGAGAGTAGACAGATAACCCATCTAGTAGAAATAAGTGAGACCCAATCTGCCCAAAAGTATAAGTAAATTTCTTTTCCTTCAAGCTGAGGGAAAAGATTCCAAGGAACGGAGTTTTGTTTGCTAGCCTCCCTTTGTGCAGTTTGTTCATTCATTCATTCATTCATTCACTCACTCAGAAAATACTAAGTGCGAGAGAACTTACCCCCCTCTGGAAAGTGTTGTGTTAATGATTAGCACTATACCAAGCATGTTCATTGCTAATATCCAAGAGAAAAGTAGGGTATTAACATGCTCTCCGTTACAAATGAAGAGACTGAGGCTCAGAGATCTGCCCAGCCCAAGGTGTCACCCTGCTGCTAAGTGCTAGAGCTGAAACTTAAACTGAGTTCAAATCCTGTGTTCTCTGCAAGAAGCCCATGCTACCTCCTATGGGCAAGACAGTACTTGATTGGATTTTCTCTAGAGTAGTTAGTCCTTGACCCCAGTCTCTCCATGAACTTGGCATTATTTGCATTAAGGGAAATGATTTTCTTGCCAAATAAGCAAGGCACATTTAAAAAGACTCCCATCATGTAGAGAATGGAGCACTGAGGGCCACTAACTAGTCATATTTGTTAATGGAAAGGAAGGAAACTAACATTTTTTGCATTTCTACTTGGTTCTAGTTCTTTGGTGTATTATAATTTATCCAGTCAACACTTACTCAGCAGACACTAGGTCTGCTGAGTCTGTAGCAGGTCGGTAAGAATCTTCGCAGTGCAGCAGAGCAAGGATAAAGAAATGAGGAATAAAATAAGGGCTATATGAATTAATCAGAAATGTTAACATCTCTGATGACAAGTGAACAGGAGAGCACGTGCTCTGGAGTTTGGATCTGATTGTGGATCTTTTGCCAAGGGAGAGAAGACCAAAGCTCTTAACAGTCTCTGCCTTCAGTTTTTACATTTTAGTGGAGGAAGACAACCATATAAGCTAGTAATTGCATGCAAGTCTTATGGGAACTTTCTTGTACAGGATTTGCTGTAAATCCATGAAGGAAGGAATGGTCTGTTTGATTTGGTCTGGGTTGGGGTTGTGAGCACATGAGGCAAGACCCAACACTGGGCTTCTATGCCTAGTTAATGGAATTTCCTTTCCCTTTGTTGGGGCACAGGAACTAGTGAAAGATGGGGAATGTATAGACTGAAGTTACAAAAGCCTCCCTGTGGTCCCAGAGGTTGTGTAGTTTTTATTTCTTCATTGTACAAGAAAACAAGAAACTGTTAAACTTAAATTGGGGCAGAGGGGAGCTGGAGGCCATTCATCTAGCTCCATTTGCTCTGGACTTGGGAAAGGCAACAAGGAGGCCAGGGTGAAGGTCCTTCTCATTCCTGAGAGTGCCTCCCTAGCCACCTCACTTCTTTGGCCAGGACGGAGATGTGTTCTTGGGAGACCACACAGCCTACCCCGTGCCTACTGCATGGTTCCAGAAGGCCTGGCTTCCAGAGCCAGCCATCAGCGATCAGAAACTTTCTGCACTGTTAAATCCATTTAAGAAATCTGAAAACATGGCCTTGCAGGATGAGGATGAGGATGAGGAAGGGGCTGTTACACTACGTATGCTTTCTGAGATCTAAAATGGGAGACCTCTGGAGTAGCCCTTGTAATTGAGAAATGTTTTACTTTCATTTTGGAGCCTTATATGTAGGAAAGTAGCTGTATAAACCCACTTGTAACTATAGCATTCAAAGATTGATGGTGCTGAAAGCCGGAGAAAGACACATAAACCTTGGCTGGCTATATTAAATAGCTAAGGACTGACAATGCCAAGGGAGAGAAGACCAAAGCTCTATAAACCCTACTTTATGACACCATCCACAGATGAACTGCACTGAGGGAATATAAACCCTGTTATATTACAGTATCCAGGGACTAACACTGCTGAGAGATAGGGTAAATGATCTCTAATTTTGATTTGAGATTATAAATGTCCAGAGACCAGCAACCCAGAGAAGACTAATCTTGGTTGGATTTTAGGCTTCAAGAGCAAACCCCCTGAGATAGTGAACATGAGTATTAGGTTAGATTCTAGAGACAGAGATAGGTTTTGGGGGAATCCCCTGGTGATTTGTTTAAAGGTGGATGATAAAATCTTTCCCAGTCATTTGGCATGTATCTCAATTGCCAACTTCAGAATAGCTTTGTACAGTTTTAGTTGTCTATAGTGGTTTGTTTTTACCCCCTTTTAGGTTAGTTGGTGATGATTGAATCTGTTGTGATAGCAACTTGATATATAATTTAAATCAATCTGCATTTTTAAATTAAATCTTCCTATGATTCTTTTTTCCGATTTTAGGTTTTCATTGATCATTTGTTTGCTTTGTGATTCCAGCCAGAGAGATGACACGGGGGAAATTCCTCAATATTCTAGAGAAGCCCAAGAAGTAGCAGCTGCTTGCGGACAGGATGTCCTGGGGTCCGAAACCAAGCTCCCTTCCCGGTGCACCTCTAACAATGCACACCTCACTGCTTGCTTGGGAGAGGCCAGAGGGTGTACCTCCAGGACTGCCCTCTCCCCTGCTCCTGGCACTCTACACGTCTGAGGACATTCAGCAGCAAGAGAAGAATCTGCTCTACCCAAGGATCATTGCAGTTACTCAATCAACTTTCAGACTTGAACCTTCTTAGCCTCGGATATTGGTAACAGCTGAGGGCATATCATTCTTAAAGGTCGAAGTCCTGCTTTCTCATTTCTGGAAGTGATTCAGGAGCCCCAGGATCTTACGGTTGATTTGACTCAGTCATGGCAGTCAGTTGTGACATGTTGATTGGATGGGTTCTTTTGAATTGTTCTTGATCTCTTAGAAAGTGTTTACGATGTGAGGAGACCAGAGACCAAGTAGATTCTGGACCAGACCATGCAGCCTGACCTGTGAACTCTCCAGTATATACTAAGTTCCCAGAATCCCCAGCTGAAGAAACCAGAATCTTCTCGAAATGTATATCTGTTTTTTAAAACTTCTATACCTCTTATGATAGTCCCATTTGCTTTTCATTCCTTACTTCCCAGCCCCACCTTCTAGTTCTGACTTCGGGCAGAGGGATCCCTGAGTCCCTCCTGGAATTAGCTTGTATAGTGAAAGGCCCATCCAAGGTTGTCTAAAGACCAATGTGAAGGTGACAGAAAGGACTTTTGAGTTCTAATTAATCTGTTACAGCTTCAAGCAAGAAAGTCAGTATAGCCTGAAAGACAAGAGAAACGGGATGGTTTATAGGAGTTCCCATTTGGTTGAAAGCTAGAAGCCCTAATTGACCTTAAAGTAACATGCTATGGGATGGTGGGATTGTCCCCTCTGACAGCACATATGAAATAGTTCATCTATATAATAGAAACGCACACACACGAAAAAGAATCTTCTGACTTAAATACAACTTTCATGGAGTTCTTCACCACTTATCTGTCTCTGTTAAAATCTGAAAATCTAGCCCATGGCTAAAATCTATTATATGTGTTCTCCATATTTCTTGTATAAGCCAGTCCCCAGCATCTGATGTTTTGAGAAGTGCATGGAGTTTCCTAAACTTTGCACAAAAGAATATCCTGGGGCCGGGCATGGTGGCTCACGCCTGTAATCCCAGCACTTTGGGAGGCCGAGGCAGGTGGATCATAGGTCAAAAGATCGAGACCATCCTGGCCAATATGGTGAAACCCTGTCTCTACTAAAATACAAAAATTAGCTGGGCATGATGGTGCATGCCTATAGTCCCAGCTACTTGGGGGCCTGAGGCACGAGAATCGCTTGAATTCGGGAGGTGGAGGTTGCAGTGAGCCGAAATTATGCCACTGCACTCCAGCCTGGGCAACAGAGTGAGACTCTGTCTCAGAAAAAAAAAAAAAAAAAAAAAAAAAAAAAGAATATCCCTGTGGCAATAGTCTGATGGTGTTTGGACACAAGAAAAGTTATGGTTTTGAGTCGTGAGTGTTTGCTAGGGCATGGCACTCTTCAGTTTAACAGCTGATCCATTAAACCTTTTCTGACATTTGTGCCTTGTTCTCATGCTAGAATTAATGCTGGATTTTTCTCTCATTTGACCATCAATGTAGTTTTACTTATTGAAAGGAAAAAAGACTTAACACAAGATAGGAAAGATGAGTATGAGAAGTAAAACATTCTGCTGGGGTGCTACATAGAAGGTTAGGTTGTAGGGGCTTTGATTTTAATTTAAACTTATTATCGATTGATATTTCTGTATCTCACTAAATGCGGTTGAAGAGTGTGTGTGTGTGTGTGCGCGCGCGCATGTGGCCAAAAAATAGTGCCATAATGTCAAATTCTTCCTTTGCTCTGTTTTTGAGAGTTGATGACATCAGGCACTTTTCAGTGTTTGGGGAAATTGATTGGGATACCTCCCCCAAACCAACTCAAGTCTGTAACTGGAAGCCAGGTGGTTGGTTTTCTGGTCCGCTTTGTCCTCTTTCTTTTACCGTCATCCTATTCACCAGCACTTAATGTAAGTAGATGTTTTAGAATTGCAATATTTATTGGTTTAGTATTTGTCATCCTTAGAAATGTTAATGATGTATTTTTATATTGATAATATAAATTTATGTACAGTATGTGTGTATATGTATTTCAGGATGTTATAGTATTGTACTTTGTATGTGATGGTTTTTGTGTCTTCATAATAAATATGTCCCTTTTACAGGAGGGTGAGTTTTTCCTCAGAGGGCCGAGTTGGATATTTAAAGCACAGACCTCCCCAGAAAGTACAACTGTAATGATAAATAATCTACTGTTTTCCCCCTTAATATACTTAATGGATAGTTGGGGGCTTTACAGTCATCTACTTGGTCTCCTGCCTTCCATTCTATCCTACCACTGCCCAACACCCGAAAGTAGTATTTAGAAACCCTTAATACCTTCCCGTGTCTACTAATAAAGTCTCAATCTCTTGACCCGGCATTTTAAGACTCTCTACATGTAATCCTAAGCAACCCTTCCGTTTCGTTTTCTTCCTCTCCTATATATGAAGTCTCTGTTGCAGTTACTCTGAACAGTTCCCAGTTTCTCACTTGAGTGCCTTTGCTCCTGCCTTTGAGTTCCTAGAAGGTCTTGGATCCCTTTTGCATCTGGCAAACCTATGCTTCCTATAATCTCCTGATGATCCAGCTGGAAATGGTCCTTCCCCTACATTCCTATAGCATTTACCCATATCATCCCTGTGACTCTTACCATAGTCTGCCTTATATTTAAGTGGTCTGAGTACTTTTTCTTTTTGAGACAGAGTCTCACTCTGTTGCCCAGGCTGGAGTGCAGTGGTGCAATTTTGGCTCACTGCAACCTCTGCCTCCCGGGTTCAAGCGATTCTCTGCCTCAGCCACCCTAGTAGCTGGGATTACAGGTGCATGCCACCACGCCCAGCTAATTTTTGTATTTTTAGTAGAGACGGGTTTTTGCCAAGTTGGCCAGGCTGGTCTCGAACTCCTGGCCTCAAGTGATCCTCCCGCCTCGGCCTCCCAAAGTGCTGGGATTACAGGTGTGAGCCACTACGCCTGACACTGAGTACATATCTTATTGCCCTACTAAATTCAAAGCTTCTCAAGGTATAGCTGTCTCCTGCACATCTAGTTCTTCAGTGTCTTTGAACTAGGGGTTCAAAACCTGTTTGCTTGCAGGCTTCTGGTTACACATGATAGATTGAAAACAAGTATTTATCTGCCATCTTCTAAATCCCTTAGTGTGGGTTCCTTTTCAACCATGTTCAAGAACTAGAAAAGAGGAAGTACTCATTATTGCTACTGCTATCACTCATTGATAGTTTACCTGCTCTGGACCAGAATATGCCCTTTTAAAGAAAGCATTTCATTTTAAGGAAAGCAAATTGCTTCTCATCATAGGCCCATCATTTATTTCCAAAAAAGACATCTGGATGAACAGTAGATTTCTGTGATCTAGAAAAGCATGGCTGATTGACTAAGTAGGGACAGTGTTAGGAGTGTTCTAAGTCTTTAGAGACTATTTTTACGGTAAGTAATTGTTTATTATTTGCCTACAGATATTTTTTCCCTTTTCCTTTGCCATTCCAAATACCATCCTGTAAAGCATCTGTCAGCTGTGAGCAGCAACATTCTGAAAAGCATAGTATTGGAGCTTGGAGACACATTTGCAAATTCTTATTGACATTTTTTTCTTACCAGCACTCTCATTATTTCTTGCTGTCTTCAGTCTCACAGATTCTAGGCCTCTGCTGATTTGCTTGGCCTGCCTTCCATAGGTTAGAACACTTAAAGTTCACAGGGTATTAATTGTGTTGATATTGAAATGCCATCATTCATTTTTATCTTTCCATTTTTGTCATATTTTTTAAATGGATGCTTGCTAACTGCTCCGTGGTTTTAGTTCTCTAGCTGCTCTTCTGGATGCTCCCAGATCAAGGCAGTGAAAATGGAACTGATGAAAGTCATTCCCTTGTCCCTGTGGCTTCAGAAGTGTGTTTGGACTTCCACAGGAGCTTTGAAATGAAGCCGAGAAATTTCATTTCCAGTGGGATTCCCTGACCCCTCCTGTTTCCTCCAGGATTAAGACATCACAAGAAGGTGAACAGGCAGAGCAGGAAGTGAGGAAATGGACAGTTGGGCCAAGGTGGATGGTCGCAGAAGCCAAATAACACAGTCTCTTACCAGTTCTCAGCTTCTGCACTAACTCCGTCTCCAAGAATTTGGTTATGTTCTCCATTTTCTGTTTTCTTCATCTCGTGAGAGCTACAAGGATACCTGGTCCCTATGTGGGCTTTGTTTCACCAGAGAGTCTTGCAACCCCCAACCCCAGAGAGTGGCAAAGGGTGGTGTCTCCACGGTTGTAAGTTCTGATGGACTGGAACTGATTTTTCCTATCTATGTAGGCTTTTTGGCATTTGGGGTGTGTGTCCTTGTCTATGCCTAAAGAGGCCACTGGCCTTCCCACCCTTTGCCTGGCGCTTTTTCCTCTCGAGCAGCTGGGGGCTTCAGACGATACCAGGTGTAACTGTGAGGCTCCTGGTTGGCGTGAGTGCTGGCAAAGCCTGTTAATTAGCACAGAAACACCCCAGTGCTCCATTAGCTGGGCCAGGCATTTGGAACCTTCCCCTCCTGTGGGCCCCTTCCTCCTAATGAGAGCTGGAAGAAGGGCCCTCACAAAACACTGCCTCAGAATAATATTCTGCTTTGTCCCCACCAGTAACCAGGGCTGACAGGATCACTCTGTCCATTTCTCTTCTAATTAGCACAATTCCAGCATGGCCTGAGCCAGCAAATAGAGAAAAGCGATCAAAAGCGATCGGACAACCGTACCGAATCACAAACACAAAGAGGGCCATTCCCTGTAATTAGGTGAGACAATTCCTCAGTCTTTTCTCGGCTGGAGTTTGCCGCTAAGACTCTTGCTGTTTGGGTCCCAGCAACACAAGTTACATGTCTCCCTGGGACACTAATAAGCCCCAAATTGTCTTCCGCTTCACACAACTCTACCCAGAGGACAGACATGGGGTGGTGGGGCAGGTGGCGGGGAGGGGGTGGGGCAGTGCAGTGAGGGGACGGGTCTCCCAACAAGCAGCTGCTGCAATGTTTCCCCAACTTCAAGAAGCAGACACTGGGGCTGTGGGCAGAGAGGTAAGAGTCAGTTGGCTTGAGAGAACTGCTCTTGGCACAGCCTGGCCCCTGTCACTTGAGCTGGAGTCTGAAGCACTGAGAATTTCTGACCCTCAGGGGAAGCCCCCTCTCAGCTATTTGCCCTACTCTGTTCATTCGCTGCCTCCTGTCTATGGCCCCCTCACTCCTCCCACCTCTGCAGACTGGTAGCATCACTCCAGGAACTACATTGAGCCCTTCACAAACTGTAAGCCCTACACAACTATAGTTACCATTGCAAAGAAAGCTAACACACAGCACGTGAGTGAATTCTGCCCTAGAAGACTGCATGACCTGGAAGGGGCACCCACTGCCCCCCTCACTCTGGCCTTCATTTCTAGCACCCATCACCTTTATGTCCCTGATTGTGTCCCCAACCCCTGCCTACTATCTCCTCTCTCCTGAAAGATCCCTGTTTTTTTAAAACAGAAAAGTGGCCCATCTGCCAGGGCAAGAAGCTGTAACTGGCCGCGCTCCATGTGGCTCAGAGGTTGGTCACTTAATGAACAAAAACAGCTCCCCCAGGATTGCAGCCCATTACGGGGATTACTTGGGGCGATACAGCCGTAAACTTGGTCATAGCCAGGGACAAAGGAATGCAGGGGAGAGTGGCAGTTGGAATCTCAATTAAACCCAAGTTCGGAGCAGAATTGGGCTCACATATTTTCATCTCTCTCTTGCCCTCTGCTTTCTGTCTCGATCTCTATACCTGATGTTTCTGAAAGTGACCTCCAATACCAAAGGAGATTCAGTTATGTAGAATCTGAGGAGCCAAAAAACTCAAGTAATCAGAGTTGCATTGTTTTTCTACCTTCAGTTTTCTGAGGCACAGAGAGGATAATGATAAGATTTGACTTTTAAAAATAACTTTTGGGACATGCCAAAGAATTGATCCAAATTTGTTCAATTTCCTACAGTTTCTTTGGTTATAAACAGAACTACCTGGCACATAATAGGTGCTAAAATAAGCATTTGTTGAAAGAATGAACTGTGCCTTGACATTCGGTGTTCATAGCCTCATTGCTGGTCTAAGATATAGTAAGTGCTTGGATTTTGAGAGAGAGGCAGGGGTGATCTTGTGTAAGTTACTTCTCTCTAAGCCTTGGTTTCCTTAGGACTTTTTCCACTTTAAAGAGTCATATCAGCATCATGGATAAGGGCACAGGCTCTGAAGTCAGGCTGCCTGGGTGCAAATAGCACCTAACTACTAGGGTAGCTGTAGAGATTAAACGAGTATTGCAAAGTGTTGAGAATGGTGCATGGCATATCTTACCCATTACGTATATAATTGCTTGATGGATAGATCTATAAAACAGATTCCATGTAGTATTTAATTTTTTATTATACTCACATTTGTTAAAAATTGACAATCCCTAGGCCGGACATGGTGGCTCACACCTGTAATCCCAGCACTTTGGGAGGCTGAGGCGGGTGGATCACTTGAAGTCAGGAGTTCAAGACCAGCCTGGCCAACATGGCAAAACCCCGTCTCTACTATAAAAAAAAAATGAAAAAATACAAAAAAATTTAGCTGTGCAGGGTGGCAGGTGCCTGTACTCCCAGCTACTCAGGAGGCTGAGGGAAGGGAATTGCTTGAACCTGGGAGGCAGAAGTTGCAGTGATCTGAGATTGCACCACTGCACTCCACACTGGGTGACAGAGTGAGACTGTCTCACACAAAAACAAACGACAAACAAAAAAAACATTGGCAATCCCTATAGGGAAAATATAGTAACTTCTGGTTACCTTGACTAGTCAGTTAAGCAGAATACCATTTCTGTAACCCTTCAGAAGAGCTGACAGTTTACTATTTCTCCTACCCCCATCCTTCCACCCACTGAGGCCCTGTGCCAGCATGGACACTCAGTAGAAACCATTGTTGACTCTACAGACAGTGGCATTAAGCAAGGGAGGGAAAGGTATACTTTGTGACATTGGCAAGTTTCTGAACTGATACTGAACTTGGCATACATAAGCCTCAAATCACTGTACTTTGCTAATCTTTGTAGTCCTAGTATTTTCTGAGCATCCATGCTTTTCCAATCACTGCACAGGAACACACTTCCCTGTTTGATTCAGTCATAACCTCCTACCCCTAACCCACCAGTCCTCCACATTCCTCCAGATAGTTTTCTTTTTCCTTTCCCTTCCCTTCCCTTCCCTCCTTCCCCCACTCCTCCCCCTCCCCCCTCCCTGCCTCCCTCCCTCCCTCCCTTCCTTCCTTCCTTTTTTTGGTGAGACAGGGTCTCCCTCTGTCACCAAGGCTAGAGTGCAGTGGCACGATCTCAGCTCGCTGCAACCTCTGCCTTCTGGGCTCAAGCAGTCCTCCTGCCTCAGCCTCCAAAGTAGTTGGGACCACAAGCACGTGCCACCACATCTGGCTAATTTTTGTATTTTTTGCAGAGATGGGGTTTCGCCATGTTGCCCAGGCTGGTCTCGAACTCCTGGGCTCAAGTGATCCGCCCACCTCCGCCTCCCAAAGTATTGGGATGAGCCACTGTGCCTGGGCCAGATAGTTTTCTATGGTGTGAGATTTGTCAGGTTCTCGCAAACCTGTCAGGTCCCTTTCCAGGACTAAGCAGGGTCCACTCAGGCTTCTGCTCCCGCAGCAGCCTCCTCTGGGCTTTGCCTTCTCTGGGAGCCCATGGAGAGACCCTCGCCTGACTGCAGCCTGAGGCCTCAGGGTCAAGCGAGGCTGAAGGTCACATCCCAGGGCCTTTCTGGACGCAGCCAAGCCCCAGGAGCCAAGCTGGCCTGAGCCAGTGACTTCACACAAAGGAGCAGCTGAGAAGAGTCAAGTTGGGAAAGTCAGTGACTTGAGGCTGAGTAGAAATGAGAAGTGCTGGCTGTGGCAGGACCCATGAAGGATATGTGAGGATTGGAACCAGAAATGATCTCTGAGGAATGGTGGTCGGGGGGCTCATGGGGAAGCAAGGTCCTGCGAGCTGCTTCACCTTGGCCTCCTACTTCCCGCCATCCACCTCTGCTGCTGCTGCCTCTGCCTTCAAGTGGCCCAAAGGCTGTTCAGATGTGCAGCTGTTGAGTAAATCATGGTACATTCCCGTAGCGAACTGCCATGCAGCCATTTGGTGTGTTTGCAAAGAGGTTATGATATCATGGAAGAAATGGTTTTGTCATAAGGATAAGTGAAATGGCCAGATATAACAATTACAGTGGGGTGGTGAATGGAAGGCAATAGGCGAAGGTGGTAATAGTGCTTGCTGCCTGGTTGGAGGAATATGGGGTATTGTTGTTTTCTTCTACATTTTCCAAACTCTCTACGGAAACAGGTATTGATTTTATAATACAGGGAGAAAAAAGCCTCTGGGGCCGGATATACAGATTTTAAAAGCCCTGCTTCTCAGCTCAGCCTGTTATCCTGCACACATGTGCATACATACATAGTTCATCGATAACCTTTGTATATGGTAATGAAATTTGTTCTTTAGTATGCAAATGTATATCAATCTGTACACCAATAAGTGTTTACTGAGCACCTAATAAGCATCCAGCTATACCCTAGGATCTCTACCTCATTGCATGTAATGTGGAAAAAAAAAACTTGTTCCCTATTCATGACAGTCCCATCTCTCCCCACACTCCTCAGAGCCTTTGCCCAGGAGCAGAAAAAAATCATTCAGTCAGTAGGTGTTCAGTGTTGCCAAATAGCTATCTTTTTCCTCAGTCTTTCCTTACCTACCCTGAGAAAATATGTCTCACCTAACTTTGCTGTAGAGTCGTAGCGTTAAGTTTCCCCCAGCTCTTGGACATGCAGCATCTTACTTCAGATGTGTTTGCGAGAGTTTCCTTCGCTACTTTCTCCTTGCTTCCCTTCCCCTTCCCAATTGGAGAGAAGGAAGAAAAGATGAGTTGGGGGTCAGGAGTAGAAATGGGTCAGAGAAGAGTCTGTAATTATACTCATGTTTTCATCACAAACAACCAGTTGGAGGCGCTGCACAATCAGGAAAGAGAAGGAAGTGCATTTCATCTGAGTTGGAGTCTGGAAGACACAAGGGATATGTAGGAGGTGGTTCTCACTTTTATTGGGAGACAAGTGTGTATATAAAGTCAGTTTCCCTGCAGGATGAGAAGCATAGTCATGGAATTGCTAAAGAAGATATAAAACCCTCAGGACCAAATGACATGAGAAAATGGAGAAGAATTGACCTTGTCCCCAAGAAGTGACTTGACCACATCAGCCCCAGGTTCCCAGAATATACAAGCCCACACATCTGACTAGGCCTGGGCTAGAAAATGGGCGGAAATTGGGAGCACTCCCCATTTTCCTTGATAGAAATAGATGGAGCAATGAGTAAAATTCTATGCCTGCCACATCTGCTGCGTCCTCCACTAATGTATGCACTTGTCCATCCTGTTTTCCAAAGAGGGACTGCTTTCTGTCCAGCTCAGAAGAGCAAAACGAAGAAGGAACAATGTCAGCCATGTGTAGCCCTGAATCCTGCCCTACCATTGCGGTCGCTCTAGGGCTTTCAGCCAGAACTGGGGTGGCCAGATCTGATCAGTCTTCCAAAGGAGCGAAGAGCACTCCAGAACAGACAGCTGAAGCAGTTGTTACAGCAGCAGGATTGCAGGGCAGGCGACGCTTCACAACATCACCAAAGACTGATGCAAATTGGTTTGGTTCTGACCCTGTCACACCAGGAAGGATAATGACTCCAGCAGCGCCAGGCATGGGAGGGAGCACGTGGTGGGGGCTGTGAGGATTGGTGTCTCACTTCACATCTTCATTAATGATCTGAAAGACAGGGGTAAACAGCATGCTAATGAAACCTGCAGATGATTGGTGTTACAAACCCCAGAGAGGACAGAGAAATAGCACAACGAGACCCAGAGAGCTTAGAAATATGGGCAGGAGACTGTCAAATGAGACTCGTCCTAGGAAAATGAAAGTCGACACGTCAGGGAGGAATGATGAAGGTGCCTCTGGGTGGGGGCCTGCAAACCTGAAAAGCAGAGATGGGTGGCAGGGTCAGGAGGTTGAGGGATATGATAAGGTTTGGGGTGTGTTGGAGGGAGACAGAGGAGCTGACCTTGAGGACCCAGGGGACAAATACCCTTGTGCATTTCTGGTCAGGACTGACCATGGGGCCAACAGTTCATGCAGCTGGGGAACCAAGCAGGTTGTACTGGCCCATTGGCCTGTGTCAGCTCCAGGACCCCTCTGCAACCCAGGACCTCTGATTTCACAGTCACAAGCTATGCCTATTTGCACCCAAGCCATTAAGGCTAAAAGCGCCATTTTGACCCGACCTGCTATTTTCCTAAAATGAAACAAGCCAAAATACATCTTTAACATTTTGCACTAAATTATTGGGGAATAGGAAATTCAAGAGCAGAGAAAGCAAAAAATGTCCGTATTTTCAAGGGTTTCCCATTCAATAAAGATTTATCAGAGCGTAACTCATTTATATTAAATCTACAAATCTTAAGTGAACAGCTCAATGATTTTTTTCCTTGACCAAATCACTTCACTTCACCAAGTCTTGGTTTCCTCGTCTGAAATGAGCATAACAGCAGAACATATCTCACAGCTGTGTTGTAAAGATTAAATTAGACTCGGTAAAGCCCCTTGGGCACAGTAAGTACTCACATATGGGGTGATTATTATTACTGTTTATTATCCTCTAATTTTATTCCTTAAGCTTTACTCTTAGCTCCCTAAGTAAATGATTAATTTCTTGAAGTCAAGGACTGCCTTAAACTTCTTTTCAGCTCATGGGTGCTGAATAAATCCTTGTTTGATGGATTAATGTGTTAGAAAATTCTTTTCATATAAATAATTTTATTCTTACCTAACTCAGATCTACTTTAAATGAAATCACTTTCTTCAAAATAAAACAAAAACAAGTAAAATCCTTATATCACAAGAGTGTTTTGAAGACAAAATATTCTGCCTTGAGTCTATGTTAACACCATGTGCTGTCTGGTGAAATTTTAGGCCAGAGGAAATCCCAGCCTGATGATTAAGAGCTCACTTTTGGGGCCGGGCACGGTGGCTCATGCCTGTAATCCCAGCACTTTGGGAGGCTGAGGTGGGTGGATCACAAGGTCAGGAGATCGAGACCATCCTGGCTAACACAGTGAAACCCCGTCTCTACTAAAAATACAAAAAATTAGCCGGGCGTGGTGGCAGGCACCTGTAGTCCCAGCTACTCGGGAGGCTGAGGCAGGAGAATGACGTGAACCCGGGAGACGGAGCTTGTAATGAGCTGAGATCGCACCACTGCACTCCAGCCTGGGTGACAGAGCGAGACTCCATCTCAAAAACAAAAACAAAAAACAAAAAAAAAGCTCCATTTTTGAGTCCAGTCGGGTTTGAATTGGGGTGACTAGCCGTCTGATTTGCTTGGAACTCAGGGGTTTCCTGGGAGGAATAACAGTCTTGACCATGTGACCGTTGATCACTCTAGTTTTAATGTGGTTTCTGCTACTTAATAGCTTTGGGGTGTGGCCTTGGATAGGATTGTTACCCTTATTGAACTTAGTTTCCTTTTCCGTTAAAGGGGGAAAATAACTACTTCACCAGGTTGTCGAAAGGATCAAGTGTCCCAGATGCGTTGGTTCACACCAGTAATCCCGGCATGTTGGGAGGCTGAGGCAGGAGGATTACTTGAGTCCAGGAGCTAGAGACTAGCTTGGGCAACATAGTGAGACCCCATCTCTACAAAAAAAATGTTTTTAATTAAATAAAATTAGCCAGCGCAGTGGTACATCCCTGTAGTCCCTGCTGCTCAGGAGGCAGTGCCGGAAGGATGGCTTGAGCCCAGGAGTTCAAGGCTGCAGTGAGCTATGGTGGCAGCATTGCACTCCAGCCTGGGCCACAGAGTGAGACGCTGTCAAAAAAAAAGACAGGGGGTGGCAAGCATGATGCTCACACCTGTAATCCCATTACCTTGGGAAGTTGAGGCAGGAGGATCACTTGGGGCCAGGAGTTCAAGACCAGCCTGGGCAATATAGTGAAACCTCATCTCTCCAAAATTAAATTAGTCAGGCATGGTGGTGCACACCTGTAGTCCCAGCTACTTGGGAGGCAGAGGCAGGAGAACCACTTGAACCCAGGAGTTTGAGGCTGCAGAAAGTCATGATTGTGCTACTGCACTCCAGCCTGGGCAACAGAGTGAGACTGTCTCAAAAAAAAAAAAAAAAAAAAGAATTCAAAGAATATACCTTTGCCTATTCCACTTATACCCAACAAAAATGAGTTGACACCAAAAGACACGTGTGAAAACAATAGCAACTTTATTCATTCAAGTAAAAAACTGGGGAACAAAGGCCATCAGCAGGAGAATGGATAGATTGTATATTCTATGTGGAATGCCAACTGGCAATAAAGAATGAACAAACTACCATGCCGCTTCACACAGTAATATGGATGAATCTCCCAAACACGAATGAAGGGCACATACCGTATGACTCCATCTGTATGAAATTCTAGAACAGGCAGAACTAATCTATGTGATAGAAGTCTAAATAGTAGTAACCTTGGAGGTATTAACTGAAAAGGGGCCCGGGGAGCCTTCTGGGGTTTTGGAAATATTCTCTGTCTTGATCTGAGTGCTGGTTAACACAGGAGGGTATGTGTGTAAACATTCATCGAGCTGTGCAGTTAGTGGCTGCACACTTTAGGTAAGCTGTGCCTTAAAAGAAATTAAGGTTCTCTGAGCCTCTAGAGGGAAGTGTTGATGAAAGCTGATGGTTTTTATGTTTCAAACCACCCCATGGAAGCTATTTGGGGCAATAGCATAGGGGAATCTAGAGGATCCCAGACTCACCCTGGGTTCAAAGCTATGAAGTCAGAAAGAAGGACAGAAGATGGTCAACATGTCCCTTTGGCAGCTGCCACTCATGCTCCACCAGTGACTGAGCATAAGGGCTGGAGGGCCCTGTCCTGTGCCCTCACTCACCGTGACCTCAATGTGGGGGAGGGCTGTCAGTCAAACTCCAAGCCCAGATGCTGCACCCTTGGGCTCTCCTTCGAGGGAGCACCTTTGTCTACCCACCCTTTACTGAGAAATCAGTCCCCAGACTGGGGGCTCCTCAAGAGCGAGGACCAGATGTGTGTTTCTGTTTCTCCAGAGCCTGACCTATCATAGATGTTCATTGTACAGTTGCCAAATGGATGCCTCCAGTGACCTAACTCATCACTTAAATTCTTCCCAGATGGAACTGGCCACTGATCTTAAAGCCAAAGATAGGCTTTTTCACTCATGGATCATTCAGGCACTCCTTCCTAAAATAACTGGGATTCCAAGAGAGCTACCAGCATCTCTGACATGCTTCCGATCAGTGCAATTCTGATTCTGTTAGAAAGGATCTTCAGGCCGGGCGCAGTGGCTCACACCTGTGATCCCAGCACTTTGGGAGACTGAGGCGGGCAGATTACCTGCGGTTGGGAGTTTGAGACTAGCCTTTATTTTTAAAATAAAATAAAATAAAATAAATTCAGTTTCTTAGTTGCGCTAGGCACATTTTGAGTGCTCAGTAGCCACTTATGGCTACTGACTACCACTGTATTCGACAGTGCAGAACTGCATGCATTTCCATCATCATAGAAAGTTCCAGTGGACAATGATGGATTCCAGGTGATCCTCTTGGAGCCTGTAGCGGAGGGGAGGAAGGAAATAGGTGGGTAGGACTGGGCCCCCACCCCCAGTTCAACCAGAGGCACTTTGCCTATAAATTCAGATTTCAAGTTAGATTTCATTTGGGAAAAAAAAGTATGACTTTTTAAATACTTTTTGAAAAGGTAGTAAATACAAACTATATTTAAAATGAACAGATTATGAAAAAATACATCTTCTTGCCATCCCATAACCCTCAGACCACTAGTTAACAGCTTGTGGAAACTACACCTGTTCTGCAGCTTGCTTTTTTTTTTATCTTGGATCTTGTTCATATTGGTACCTAGAGATGTAACAGCTACATACTATTCCACTATATGGATGTGCCTTCAGTTACCTAGCCAGGCCCTGTGATGGACATTCAGGTCATTTCCTGTCTTCTGCTACTACGAACTATGTGGTGATGAGCAGATACCCTTGTGTTTAGGTATCTGTGGATATATCACTAGCAGGGGAATTGCTGGGTCAAAGACCACATGCATTTTAAACTTTAATATATATTGCTGAATTGCATGCCCCGTGCCCAAAAGAGATGGCAACAACAAGAAGGTCTTTTCCCCACACCTTCCACCAGGCCACTGTGATCAGGCCTGCAGGTGTCCTGCAGGGTAACGGTGGCTTATCTTGGGAGGGGGTTGCCATTGCCTCCCCACAGCACTGGGGCCCATTCCACCCAATCACTCTCTCTTCTTGTCACTCCTTCCTGCCACCAAGAATAGTTAACTTTTTATTTTAAAAAATTTTAATGGACTAGTTAACATTTGATTGAGCACTCATCAGGCCCCCGGGTACAAATCCTGCTCAGCCTGACCCTGCTCATTCAATTCACAGATTTGTCCTTTACTTCGGTGCTTCATGGACTCTTCATGACAACCTCCTGAGGCAGGTACCATTATTATTCCCATTCTACAGCGGAGAAGCCTGAGGTTTAGCGATTAAATCACTGGTTCACAGTCACCTAGCTGGTTAGTAGCAGAGCTAGGATCCAGCCCCAGGTCTGTGTCACCTCACAGCCTATGCTTAGTTCCAACAGGCTGCCCCACTCACCTGCTTCCCCTCATCCCTCCTCCCTTCATGGACACCAGCTCTCCCTCCCGCCCTCCGGCCCTGTTAATACCCCACTTCTCTTACGTGTCTTTGCTGAAGTACCCACAAGCCCTCACTCCCTGCCCACTCTCTCCCTCTTAAGGTCAGGGCAGACACCTCCATCCGGACCCTTCCTCCCTCACTGCCTTGGCTTCCTCTACTCTTGGCCTTGGGACTGCCCCACCTGAACTCCTGGGTCGGCCCAGCCCTCCCCTAGGTGATCGCCTCAGCCTACAGGGGCCGGGAGAGCTGGGGAGGGAGAAGCAGCGGCTTGCATCACCTGACCCTACTCAGCCAATTCACGAAGACAAGATGTCAAGTTAATGAGCCTGTGGGCCTCTAATTAGCTGTCAATTACCTCAAATTAATCACCTCCTCGCCTAATTAAGCATTATCGGCAGGTGGGCACAAAGCAGACCATTGTGTGAGAGCCATGAGAAAAGCTGGGCTGGCAAACTTGGTTAGGATCAGCTCTGTGCACTGCGCCCGCCTCCCCACAGCGCTCAGCCATGGGCCCAGCTGAGAGGCCCTGGGGCCCTCTGCCCACCACTGTCCCCAGACACTGGGGTACTTGGGGACCTCCTGGGAAGCTGAGTGGACTGGAAGGGAGGTACAGAGCCTAGAGGCAGGTGAGACAGCTTTGGGGCAGTGGGGCGGTAGGAACTGGAGGCCACGGAGAAGGGCGGAGCTTCAAGGCGTGGTGACCAGCTCCAGGCACTTACTGAGAGCCAAGGCGAGAGCTGGGCAGAGGGGACACCAGGTTGTGGCTGGGCGTCCAGGCCTGTGCGGGCAGGCAGAGCTGGCTTCCAATGCTGGCCTGGCCACTTGTGAGTTCTGTGAACCCAGAAAGAGACAATGTTTTTGAGCCACAGTTTCCATCCCTGGGAAGAAAATTTTTTTTGTTCTAAACACTGTCCTGGGTCTTTGTGAGGGTTCAGTAGGATCATGCTTGTGGAGCACCTGCCACATGGTAAATGTTCAATGTCTTTACTAGTGGCAACAGTGGACATGGGTGGTTTAAGACCCAGGGCCACCTCACCTAACAACTGCTGAAGCTGTATTGTATCCCCAAATTCTGAGCCCCCGGGCCTCAAGCCTGTAGTGCACCCTTGAAAAATGTGAGTGGGCTGGCCAGGCGTGGTGGCTCATGGCTGTAATCCCAGCACTTTGGGAGGCCGAGGCGAGTGGATCACCTGAGATCAGGAGTTCGAGACCAGCCTGGCCAACATGGAGAAACCCTGTTTCTACTAAAAATACAAAAATTAGCCAGGTGGCGGGTGCCTGTAATCCCAGCTACGCAGGACGCTGAGGCAGAAGAATCGCTTGAACCTGGGAAACAGAGGTTGCAGTGAGCTGAGATCGTGCCACTGCACTCCAGCCTGGACAACAGAGTGAGACTGTCTCAAAAAAAAAAAAAAAAAAAACAGGAAAGAGAAAAGAAAAATGTGAATGGGCTGCTAGGACGCACGGTTGCTGGATGCCGGGCTATCTGGCTACCACTTCCTCTCCACTCCCTCCCCATCGCCCAGCACCTTCCAGGGATCAGAGCCCCACTCACAAAGTGCCCTTGGTGCCATATGGAGCTCACCAGATGAGAAGACCACAGTTCTCTAACTAGAGACCAAGAAGAAGAGGGCCCCTTGGGTCTTGGGACTGCAGGGCCTAAAGCAAGGGGGGTCTCCAGGCAGCCCCTGGGCACTGAGTTCATGCCCCCAGCCATGGTCCTGGGAGGCTGAACAGAGTTCCCGCTCTCCTCGGCACAGGGCAGGGTGAGGCTGGGGGCCACCTGGACAGCTCTGCGCTCCCACTGACTGTCAAAGGCCACCACTCCCATGCCAGATCTGTCCCCTCACCCCACCCTAGCCGCCCCTTGTAATCTGTACCCACTACTTCAGCCCTGGCACAGGAAGACCTTTCCCTATCTCCTGTGGTAACAGAGACCCTTAGCCTCGCCGCCATGAAAGCTTGGAAACATCTTTCCTCTCCTTGGTCTCGGTCATTTAGCAAACATTGTACCTTACTAATTAAGCTCACTGTAAAGGGGTGATGGTCAGGTGAACACAAATCATTAATGGATGCTCTGGAGAGACAAAGAACAAAAAAAAGCTAGCACTTATTAAGTGCCTACTGTGTGCTGACAGGAGTGGTAAGAGATTCCGTGAATATGTTACACCTGTATATACTGTTATGTTTAATGAATTATTTATCAAAATAGATAATACATATACACACAATTTTTTAAACTAAAATAAGGGTGTAGAGGAAACCACAGGCTTCCCTCACTCCCCTGCCCTCCAGCCATCTGATTCTGTTTCCCACAACCAACCAGTAACCAGTTTTTCATACACTTTTCCAGAAATTAAAAAATATTTATATGTATATACATATTTCATTTTCACAAGTGAAATAAAACGTACTGTCCATCTTCCTTTTTTAAAAATAATACCGTCAGCCGGGCGCAGTGGCTCATGCCTGTAATCCCAGCACTTTGGGAGGCCAAGGCGGGTGGATCACCTGAGGTCAGGAGTTCGAGACCAGCCTGACCAACATGGAGAAACCCCATCTCTACTAAAAATACAAAATTAGCCTGGCGTGGTGGCACATGCCTGTAATCCCAGCTACTCAGGAAGCTAAGGCAGGAGAATAGCTTGAACCCGGGAGGTGGAGGTTGCAGTGAGCCGAGATTGCGCCATTGCACTCCAGCCTGGGCAACAAAAGCGAAACTCCGTCTAAAAAAAAATAAATAAATACTGTCTTGGAGATTGAATGTGGAATAGCAGCACAGTATTCCACTGCATGAATGTGAACTTTTTTCTTCTCTTTAAAATTACGTAAAAGTTGGCCGGGTGCAGTGGCTCACACCTAGGAGCGTCTGTCCATTAGCTTGTATGTCTGTCCGAATGGAAGTGCCTCCCTGGGCCGGGTGCGGTGGCTTACGCCGGTAATCACAGCACTTTGGGAGGCCAAGGCAGGAGGATCACTTGAGCCCAGGAGGTCGAGGCTGCAGTGAGCTGTGGAGGCACCACTGTACTCCAGCCTGGGTGACAAAGCAAGACCCTGTCTCTAAAAAACGGGGTGATGGGGCTCTTCCGAGTGAAAAGGTGGAACTACTGACCTAGTCCCACCCTGTCAGTTCACCATGAGGAAACAGGCTAGAAAAGGGGTTGACTTGTCCTTAGTCTGGAGCTGCCTTGTCAGGTTCTTCCAGGTACCACTTGATCACGTGGACGGGATGGCATTAGCCGTGCACACTGGGCAAATGCTCCGCCACCCTCCCTGCTCTGCTGGGCTTGGGAGGAGTAAGCGGTGGATGAGATGTCCCTGATGTGTTGGGCCTCCAAGGAGGCCCTTTATTTATTTGTTTGTTTGTTTGTTTGTTTATAGTTGAGTCTCACTCTGTCACTCAGGCTGGAGTGCAGTGGTGCTACCTCAGCTCATTGCAACCTCTGCCTCCCCGATTCAAGCGATTCTCCTGCCTCAGCCTCTCAAGTAGCTGGGATTACAGGCATGCGCCACCACGCCTGGCTAATTTTTTGTTTTTTAGTAGAGACGAGGTTTCACCATGTTGGCCAGGCTGGTCTCCAACTCCTGACCTCAAGTGATCTGCCCGCCTTGGCCTCCCAAAGTGCTGGGATTATAGGCGTGAGCCACCGCACCTGGCCCAAGGAGGCACTTCCATTCGGACAGACATACAAGTGAACGGACGGACGCTCCTAGGATGGGTGCTATGCATTGCTTAAGAAGGGGAACCTTTGAGGACCCTTGAAATCCCTCCCCTCTGATGCCTTGGAGGAAGGCGGACTGGCCCAGATTCCCGGACCGGCAACCGCCACCTGCCTCTCTGGTCTCCTCCCACCCCGAGGGGATCGCGCTCGCGCCGCGCCACTCGCGCGGCCACCGCTAGAGGGAGCCGGGAGCGTCTCCGAAGTCTCCCGCTTGCGGCTTCGCTCAGGCGCTGCCTTTCACCCGCCTCGCAGGGGCTGCGAGGCTCCGACAAGACTGGTCCCTTCTTGTCATTAGGCCCTAGGCCCGCAGCCCTCCGCGGCCCCGACCTCTAGGAGGTGCCCAGCACCAACAGGCCGACCCTATGCTCCCTACCCAGCCCTCCGCTATGAAAACCCTAACGCTGCTCTGCTACTGCCCCCATTTTACCAATTAGGACACAGAGAGGCTGACAGATGTACCTAGGGTCACACAGCGAATGCGTGGCAGAGCCGGAAACCCAGGGGGCCTGGCTCCGAACCCCCATGCCTCAGAGGATCTCAAGCACCTTCTTGTATCTTTCTGTTCAAGGGGAAACCGAGGCACAGAGCAAGTCTAGAGCATACTGTGTGGGTGGCCCAGTCTGCCAAGGACCGACAGGAGGCTAAAGCTAGGCGGCCAGCCCCTAGGCAGATGACCACAGCAGAAAAGCCTGTGGGGAGAAGAGGTGCCAGCCTGCCCCAAGGTGGGGGTGGAGGGGGCTGTTGGTGCCTCCCAGGATGGGTGACAGCTGCAGCCTTGGGTGGGAGGCCAGAGGCCCCACACGATAATAACTTTCACTCACTGCCCAAGAGCTAATCCCATTACTCTGCATGGACCCTCTGGGACCACCTCCCTAACCCCCCTTAATCCCCTGTCTCCCTCTGGGAATGGTCCAAGGGCCTCCCTGCCAGCCCATGCCAGCCCCAGGCACAGGCAGACCTTGCCCCTCAAGCTCTGTCAGACCACCTGTGCCCATGAATGCCCATCGTGCCTGATTCTTGGGGCCCCAAAGGGACAGCCAAGAAGGGTGGAGGTCCAACCTCTCTCACCCACCTTCCCTGCCATCCCTGACCCTGCCTGCCAGTCCCCAAGGCACCTTCCCAAAATAGCCTCCGGCTGGGATCCAGGTTTTCTGAGCCTCGTGTTCCTTTCTAAGCAGGCTTCTGGGGCTTGTTATCGTTTTTGTTGAAGGAATTGGCAGGAGAGAGCTTGGGTCCACAGTATATTCATCTGTAAAATGGACGCAATCGCCCCCAATTTCTATAGTCGTTCCGAGGATACAATGAGACACTATGAGACACGGAGGACACAATGAGACACAAGCCTCCGGAGTGTTATTATCAGTGGTACAGAGCTGTCTTCAGATATGCAAAGGAAGTGGATTTCTTTTGTGTGTTACCAGAAGGAAGCTCCATGGCCAGAAGGCAGATGTTAGAGAGGAAGATTCTGAAAGATACACACTGTCCTATAAGGGTGATAAGAGCCACCATGTACTTGTCTTGGTCTCTTCCTTAGGTGCCAGGCACTTAAGCTTCACAGCACTCTATGAGGTAGATACTGTCATTACCTGCGTTTTGCAGACGTGGGAACTAAGGTTAGGAAACGGCACACAGTGGTGGAGTTGGAATCAAAAACAGCTCTGACTCCAGAATTTTCTGGGGCATTCTGCCTCTCAGGATCTGCTTCTAAAAGGGGGAGCTGATGTCTGAGAGCCACTCCGCCCCCAAAGTAGTGAGCTTCCCATTTGCCAAAAGTGTTCAAGGTGATGCTGAGGGGCCACACCAGGAACCACCGGTCAGGAGCCCTGAGGTCCCATGGCAGCCCCCAATCCTCCCAGCATCCCCAGGCGCGGGTTTCCAGGAGGAGCCAGGCCACTGCCCCCTCCCCAGCCTGGACACAGAGGGGGCTCCGTTTGGCGCCCTGGGCCTCCCTCTCCCCCACCTTCTGCTGCTCCTCATTTACATAAATTATCTCTCTCCAATTATCCATCCAGCTGTCCCAACGGTGATCTGTGAATGAATTAAAAATGGAATATAATTTAATAATGGCTGATTAGAAGGAGATTAGTTGTTATATAAAAATGAAAAGCCAAGAGCCAGCTAGTTGCCCTTAATCTGAGCCAATACCATCGTTATTCCGGAAAGGCCCCCTGGCCACCATCAGGCAAGGCAGACACGGGGACAAAGACTGGGGGAGTGCCAGGTGGGGCTAGACCACCCCAGAGAGAAGATAGGGCACTGGGAGGCTGGAATTTGCAGCATCTCTGAGCTGTGGGGCGTGGGCATCTCCTGTGGCTTCCTTCAAAACAGGTTTGGGTGGCTTCTGGGGTCCCTTTTTGCTCTAAATTCTAGTCATCCTTGAATCAAACCACTGGGCTTTCCCAAGGCAGCCAATGACTTACACCAGACCCTGCTAGGCATAGGATCTGGGGTTCAGGAGTTTCGTTCCTGCTCAGGCCCCGCCTCTAAGAACACATAGCAGTAGGGAACACAGACTTCCCCTGAGGGGGTCTACCTGTCTAGGACAGGTGGTCAGAGAGGGTCTCAAGCTTGGTTGGTCCAGACGGTCCACGGAGGATGGACTGGCTGAGACAAAGAAGGGTGAGTGTGCCCAGTGGGACCTCTGGGCCATCTGAACCTCAGGTTAATGACTAGATCTAGTGAAGGGGACTAGTGCCTCTCCTCCAGGAAGTCTTCCCTGATCTCCTGGGCTTTGGGGTGTCCCCAGTGTTTCTACGATGCCCTGTGTTTTCTCCATCAGTGCACTGAGCACTGCCGATGGGGTGTTCAGGCCCCCGTTTGTGAGCTCCATGGCTTCTTCATGTCTGTATCACCAGTGTTGGGCACACAGTGGTTGCTCTACCACATCATTGAACAAATAAAGACACCACCTCCAAAAAGCCTCTGTGATTGCCCTAGTGTAGGTTATGCGCTCCTTTCTTTGCTCCCCAAACACACTGTGATTATGCCTTTAAAAATAAGGCAAGTCATTGCTGTGGAGAATATAGAGAAGGACAAAATTTTAGGTAAAGGTGGATAGATGGAGACAGAACAAAGTGGTTAAGAGGAGCAGTTTGGAGTCAGACTGCCTGCGTATGCATCCCAGGTCCACCTCTTATTGCTGTATGACCTGGGTGGGGCATGTTACTAATTTCTCTGTGCCTCAGTTTCCTCATCTATACAATGGGTGTATATAATAATAGTACCTACTCCATAGGATTTTGTGAGAATTAAATGGAAGCACTTGTGGCTCTTATAATGCTTGTCACACCGAGAGCCTCTCATCTCTGTTGATGGTGCTGGCTGGACAGTGGGCCTGCGCAAAGCCATCCCAACATCCCTGGCTGCTACTTTTACACTGCAGGGCCCACAGGGACACAACACTGTGGCGGGACCAGAATGTTTCACCAACCTCGGGCCTTCCTGAAGAGGCTCACAGCTCATGACATGCCCATGAGAGGGGTCTGAGCCCCGGGGCTCAGGTCTGGGCAGCGAGGCCTGTGTGACTGACATAAGAGGATGTCTGCTAGGCCTGAGCTTGCAGAAAAGGAATGAAAGGGCCGGGTGGCCAGAGGAGTTGGGCATGCAGACCAGGAAGGGAAGGCTGAAGAGCTCTCTGCAGCCGCTGACTCAGGCCTCAGGGGCCATCATGGAGCAGACAGCCAAGGAAATATTGTCCACAGTACCAGAGGCTGGGAATGAACAGGGTGGGCACCAGAGGAGGCTGATTCTCTCAAAATGAGAGGCAGTACAGATTGTGCACAGCAAGTGTTTGTTGATTGGCTAACTGAGCTGCACCGGATTTTTCTAAACTTTCTTAGTCAAGAAAATCTTGATTTCTTATGTTTGTAGAAGGGCCTGGGAATCCGCACATTTGACAAGAGCCCCCGGTGAGTCTCAAGAACAGGAGGTTTTGACCCCAAACTCCATCTGTCCCTCAGTCACTGCTGCAGTGCCCTCTGGCAGTGGGGGCTGACTGGTGACCCCCACCTTGCCCACTACCCTCTGACACTCACTCCCATCTCCACAGCCTCAGCTTCAGTCACTCCCAGGACAATCTCCCTGGTGAAGCCTGAGCACATCGGTCCATATTGCAGCCGGGGGAGGCCTCCCAGACCAGCCCAGGCTGTGGGATAATTTGATATTCAAATCCTGGCAAAGACCTGCTTCAAATTGCTGCAAATTAAGCTGATTTTGCCCCTCTGAATGAGGGATTTGCTCCTGTGGATCAACCCTCTTCCCAGGACTTGATGAGGTCAGGATTAGAGACGGGGAGAAAAAGCCTGAGGCCGGAGGCCGGAGAGCTGGAGAGCTGAGGGGCGGGGGGAAGCCGAGACCCTGGAGTTAGTGAAGGTTCCCAGGGTCTCAAAAGGCAGCTCTACCCAGTGATAGCAGAGCCTCTGAGGCCCAAATGGGTCAGCCCCACTCCTCCATCCCCCCAGGAGAGCACAGCTCTGTACTGTTCCCAAAGCAGTTTGTGGACCTCATCCAATCTTTCCAAGCACCTGTGACCCAGGGCGGAACCGATCACCCCCATTTTACTGATGAAAGGGGAGATGAGGCTTTATTGGCAAAGACAATCTGGACTCAACCACTGCCACCGACTTGCTACGTGACCTTGAGCAAGTGACCTCTCTCTGAGCCTCCTTGTAAGGATGACTGGCGATGCATACACAGTGCCAGGCACATAGCAAGCCCTCCATAGCATGGGCCAAGTTCCTAGCCAAAGCCCTGAAGCTAGAAAATAGCTGAATGGAGAACGTGGGGCTCTCTGGACCTCAGGAAGAGTCAGTCCCCTGCCTTCACCTGGAGGTCTGTGCCTTCTCCCAACTGTACCCCTCCTGATAGGACCTCCCCCATCCCTGGCAGAACCTCATTTCCATCTGTTTTCTCAGGGCCTGTACTGTATATTGCAGCAATTTCAAATGGCACCATTAAAGATTTTATGCTGGAGACGTTAAAATTAAAAAGATCTATGTGCAAAGAGTCACAACGAATTTAATCAACTTGATTTAATAGAAAACAGCAAATGGAATTTATGATGCTCCAAAAGACAAGGGAATTTTTTTTTCAACAAAAAATAATAAAAAGCACTTTGTGGAAAACAGAAAGTGGAGTGGGGTGGGGGTGGGGGCTCCCCATCTGAGAGTTGATCAGAACTTAATCCGCCGTGAACAACCCCAGTCGGGGCTGTTTGCCCACTAATCCCAGCTGCCATTAAAATATTAAAGATAAATCTAATCGTCTCTTTATCCAAAATAAGCGACTTTTGTGTGGGGAGAAAACATCTAACCCTTTGGGAGGAGAATTAGTCCTAATGCATCAAATGGAATTCGGTCCAGGCAGGGGCAGAATAGGGTTTACAGGCAAATGAGATGGTAATAGAAATAAAACCCAGAATAACAAATTAAAAACCCTCATTTACACGAATTAAAACAGCTCACAAAAGAGCCGGAGGCCCAGCCCTGCCCTCCTCGGCCCCAGGCCCATTCCCCCCTCCCCTGGTCTCACCCACCCGCAGGCCCCAGAGGAGCCAAGGCCTGACCTCATCCTTGCAACTTCTGCCCCACACCCTCCTGGATACTTACAGAAAAATGCACCCAACATCCGCTCTCCAAGACCAGGCGCAGGCTGGGTTTCTGAAGGCTCTCACTGAGTCTTCATTCATCTCCCCATCTCTCCTGCACCAGCTTTGGGGTCAGAAAGAACTTCATGCTTGTCCCAGTGCCCTCCCCTACTATGTGAGGTCTTGATTTGTTTCTATTTATTTATTTAAAATATATTTTTTAGAGACAGGGCCTCACTCTGTTGCCCAGGTTGGAGTGCAGTGACTCAATCACAGCTCACTGAAGCCTCAAACTCCTGGGCTTAAGTGATCTTCCTGCCTCAACCTCCTGAGTAGCTGGCACTACAGGTGTGCACCACCATGCCTTTCTATTTTTTTTTTTTTTTGGTAGAGATGGGATCTTGCTATGTTGCCCAGGCTAGTCTCAAACTCCTGGGCTCAAGTGATCCACTGGCCTCAGCCTCCTAGAGTGCTGGGATTAGAGGCTAGAGGTGTAAGCGACCACGCCTGGCCCTAGTTTTGTTTCTTAAAACCCCTGAGCCCCTATTACTTGGGGAAAATGAGGATAATAACGGCTCCTGTGCTCACACAGCCCTTCTCCCCAGCCTTGACCCCTGCTGCTGCTCCCTGGCCTGGCTCCACAGAATTTGATGAGGCAGCAGCATATGGAAGGCCCAGCACTGTGTCTGATCCACGGGGACCGCTCGATCACAAGCTCTCACAGAAGTCTCCCCCAAAAGGATTCTTAGTCAGCTGGGAGGAAGGACGCCTAGCAATGGGCCAGCCAGGGGGGCAGAAGGAGCAGGCAGCAGCCAGTTTGAGTAACTACGTGGGGTCACCCACTGGGTTGTCACTCATGGGGGCTGAGGCCAACCCAGATCTTCAGGGTTCTCCCTAAGTGGCCCCTTGCCCCCCAAGGTTGCCTCAAGTTTGGCCCTGTGGCTCCTCCTGTGTACCTTCCCCCGAACTGGGAACCCCTCCCCACCTTCTGCTCAAGGTCTGAATCCCTTCACATGAATATCCTGCTCTCTGCCTTAGTGGCTGGACGCTTCTCAAAGGAGATGCACGCTCCCTCAGGAGGCTCCAGGACCCTCTGCAAGCCATCACAAACTCATGAGGTCTTGGTACAGACAAGTGTGACAAACCCCTTCCTGAGAGCCTGTTTGGCTTGCTGAGGGGAGAGGGTGGGGAGGGGGCCCTTGTGCCCAAGTAACCCCCACCACACACACCCTACTGGAGTCCCCACACCAGGAGGGCCGGAATACACCTCTGACCTCCCCAGCCTTCCTAACAAATCCACTTGAACAGGAAACTCATGTTGACAGCATTCTATTATGGGATATTAAGTGGAATTGGATTGTGGGGCTAAACCTTTCCCTGGCTGGGTTTCTGCATTCGGTTGGCCTCCTCACCTCTGCGCCTACCACAGTCCTTCCCTCCAGCAGGGCTCGACGGGAGGGAGGGGGGTTTCCTGCCCACCTTCGTCAAATTATTCCCCCAGACTCTGTCCCCGACCCTTGGACTATGACAAATGGTGATTCTAGTAGCGATTTTCAAGAGAAAATTGGGCTGTGGCCGTGTGAGAGTGGGTGACCTTCTTCCCAACTTCTTCCCAGGATGGCTAAAAGAAAACACGAGGATGGCCAGGCGCAGTGGCTCACGCCTGTAATCCCAACACTTTGGGAGGCCGAGGCAGGCAGATCACCTGAGGTCAGAAATTCAAGACCAGCCTGGCCAACATGGTGAAGCCTTGTCTCTACTAAAAATACAAAAATTAACTGGGCCTGGTGGCACGTGCCTGTAATCGCAGCTACTTGGAGGCTGAGGTAGGAGAATCACTTGAACCCGGGAGGCGGAGGTTGCAGTGAGCCGAGAGTGCATCACTGGACTCTAACCAGGGTGACAAGAGCAAAACATCAAAAAAAAAAAAAAAAGGAAGGAAGAAAGGAAGAAAGAAAGAAAAGAAAAAGAAAAGAAAAGAAAAAAGAAAAGAAAAAAGAAAAGAAAAAGAAAACATGAGGAGATGGTGGGCAGGGTGGGATTTTTCCAGAGGGGTGTCCTAAGCCTGAGATTTGGTGGAAAAGCGTTGGGAGGAGATGGTCACAGGCAAAGGAGCTGGGGCCTCACTGCTGCAGGCTAGTGATCATTCTAGCTTCATAGTCCAGCCCCACTGCTGCCTCCTCTAGGAAGTTTTCCCTGCATGGCCCATATTAAAAAGGGGAAACTGAGGCATGGTGAAAGCTAAGTTCCCAGGTCACCGGCTAGCAGGTGGTAAATGGGGGACATGAGCCCAGGACCATGTAATTTAAGAGCCAGAGTCATTAACCACTACACCACGCTGCCTTGTGGGTGATCTTTTTATTTTTGGAGACCGAGTTTTGCTCTGTCACCCAGGCTGGAGTGCAATGGCTTGATCTCGGCTCACTGTAACCTCCAACTCCTGGGTTCAAGCGATTCTCCTCCTGAGGAGGAGAATCAGCCTCCCGAGTAGCTGGGACTACAGGCATGCGCCACCACACCAGGCTAATTTTTTGTATTTTTAGTAAAAACGGGGTTTCACCATATTGGCCAGGCTGGTCTCAAATTCCTGACCTCAGGTGATCCACCTGCCTCAGCCTCCCAAAGTGCTGGGATTATAAGCGTGAGCCACTGCGCCCGGCCCTTGTGGGTGATCTTGGCCTGGAGGAGATTGGGGAGAATGAAAGGCTGAAAGACCCAGCACCCACAGTGCGCGGGGGCCTGTCTGCATGCTTCATCGCCATCATGTCCCTGGGTCCTCTCAGTCTCACTGCAGAGCAGGTTTTCAAAAGAGATTCCCATTTTACAGAAGGAAAAACTGAGAATTGAAAAGGTTAAGGGAGCCCTTTCTCCACTTTTGTTCACGTTACAGGCCTTCCTCCGGAGCCCTCTCTTCCTCCCCCTAACACCTTGCCAAGTAATGCCGACCTGTCTTCAGGCTCATAACAGTGTTCTGGGCAGTCTTCCCGGATGCCCGTTTCCTGAGACCTTGGCCCTGGCCCTCCACCCCCACCCTACCAGGCTTCCCATCTTCTCTCCTACCCCAAGTCCCCCCAGAACATAGCCATTTGCACCCCACCTCCCAGTCTTGCCCTTTGCCACCCACAGGCTTCTGTGCTCTGTCCCTGGCCAGTCACTGAGTGCAATGAGGCAGAGGCCCTGGCAGGATCCCCCCATGGACCCATCCCAGTGCCAGAGTTTGGCAAGGCATTGAGAGCAATGGGTGGTTCTATAGGTGGGTTCTGTCAGCCTTAAGTGGAAAGGACTTGAGCTTGAGTCAGGGAACACCCATAGACATTTAGTAAATGTGTATCAAAGAGGAGTAGAAGACATTTGGGGTATATTACAATGTACACAGGGAGGAAGAAAGTTTACAAAACAGTATACAGAAGGATCACTTTTAAAAAAATAGACACAAGGTCTCACTATGTTGCCCAGGCTTGTCTCAAACTCCTGGGCTCAAGTGATCCTCTTGCCTCAGCCTCCTATGTAGCTGGGATTACAGGTGTGAACCACTGTGCCTGGCTCCCTATTTTTGGGAATACAAGTACTTACATGCTTAGAAAGCTGCCAAAAAACAGGTAAACCAAAATATTAATGGCAGTTATCTCTGGATGATTTTAATGTTTTTCTTTTTACTTATCAGTATTTTCTTATTTTTCACCATGAACATGTATGACTTGTATAATAATAATAATAAAGGTATGCTGGGTTGAGGTTTTCCTAAGAAGGCATTTTTCAGATTCTTGGTGATTCGTCTAAGTCCTGTTTTTTTTTTTTTTTCCACCCAGGCTGGAGTGCAGTGGTGTGATCTCGACTCACTGCAACCTCTGCCTCCCGGGTTCAAGCCA
The DNA here is from genome assembly GCF_000001405.40 of Homo sapiens. Classification (NCBI taxonomy): domain Eukaryota; kingdom Metazoa; phylum Chordata; class Mammalia; order Primates; family Hominidae; genus Homo; species Homo sapiens. The sequence continues at coordinate 74,227,102 of NC_000014.9, forward strand.
TTCTCCTGCCTCAGCCTCCCAAGTAGCTGGGATTACAGATGCCTGCCACCATGTCCGGCTAATTTTTGTATTTTTAGTAGAGACGAGGCTTCACCATGTTGGCCAGGCTAGTCTTGAACTCCTGACCTCAAGTGTCGGCCTCCCAAAGTGCTGGAATTACAGGCGTGAGCCACCAAGCCCAGCCTTTCTAAGTCTTGTTTGCCCCTGACCAGCCGCTGGCAGGGAACTTCGGTATAGCAGGGGCATCTGGGAGTCATCGAGGCTGGGCCTTGTCTGAGCCCGGCAGGCTGGGGAATGGGAAGAGGTAAACCTAGGTCAAGAAGTAGAGTGGAGTAGAGGGGCCTGGAAGGCTCTGGGCCATGGGTGGCCCCTAGAATATTGGAAGCACCCCTGGGGCTAAGGAAGAAGGGGAAGGAGAAAAGCCTAGCGGTAGGGCAAGGATGGCAGAAAGGGAAGGAGGCCTAGGAGACACGCCATGCACAAGAAGTGCCCTGTGGGAAGAGGCAGAAGTGCAAAGCCAGTGAGCCCATGGGAAAGGGGCAGGAGGGTGCTGCATGCCAGGTTGAGGCCTTGGAATAGAGATGGCAGTGACCCTTGGGATGGGCATCTAGAAGCCCAGGGCCCACCCAGGGCTGAAAACAAAGGGGCTCTGAAAAGAAGAGGTTTGGAGGGACCACTGAGGTGAGGCTTCACTCCAGAGGCTGGATGGGCTTACTAAAAGAGATGAGTGCAGATGAAGCTTCTACACGGCCACTGAGTGGGGTCAGCACCAAAACTGCTTCTCTTCAGCATCCTCATCACCAGCCTGGGAACTGTGCATCTGGTGAGGTTACAGGTTGGCCAACGACATTGAGTTCTTTTGGGGAAGGCCACAAGGAGCATGGCTTTTGGAGTGTCCTGGGCCTGGACTCAGACCTCATCTCTGCCACTCACTTCTCTTTGGCATTAGCCAAGCTACATACCCTGTCCGACCCTTATTCTCTAAAATGGGATTTGTAACATAACAGGCAGAGTGTCTTAGTTAAGATCTTCTTTAGTTGATAGCGTGACAGAAACCCACATTGAACTGATGGGAATGCTGGAACATTACAGCTCAACCTTGACCAGGGCAGGAAGGTGAACTTGAGCCAAAGGAGCGACTGGAGAAGGGACCCCCATGTTGGTCAACTCCCTCTTATCATCCTGATGCTCTGGCCACGGACTTTCTTCAGAGGCAGAAAAAATGGTTGCTGACAACTCTCAGGATTGTTGTGTTACATCTTCTCCACCATCAGCAACAGACTAAACCCAAATCTCAGTCTCAAATCCAGAAATCCCAAGAAATTGCGGGGGGACCTAGGTCAGGTACCCATCCCTGAACCAACCTGAGAGATGAAGATGGCCTGAGAGATGAAGTCATTTAGAACACAAAGAACAGAGTCAAATGATCCATCTGCCTCAGGCTCCCAAAGTGCTGGGATTACAGGTGTGAGCCACCACGCCCAGCCTATTCCTTTACTTTCTTAACAAACTTGCTTTCACTTTACCATATGGACTCACACTCTCTTGGGGTCTGGATCAGGATCCCCTTCTGGTAACACTATGGCTTTGCACTGCTTGGATGTCCCTTAAGAAAGAACTTGCTATTCAGGTGCAAGAGTGCAGTTAATAGATGGCCTCTAGCTGTAGCCCCTCTGAACTCCACTGCAGTGTTTGAGTGACACAGGGTCTGGCCATTTCTGCCCAGCTCAAGCTCCTCTAATGGACAACCTTTGCTCTGAGCTCCCCGTTAGGTTGACTGAGATGGTCAGATGTACACTGCAGTTTGAGGCTTCTTCTGCCCAGTTCTGCTTCCTCCTCTTCACCTTTCACAGGTGTCACCCCTCCCCTGATAAGCCACCTGCACTCCCCAGATTGTGTCCTAGCTGCTGCTTCCTTAGAGTCCCCAAACTGTTTGCTACAAAACCTCATTCACTGAGTTCAATTACTGACTACACAACTTCACTAGCTGCCTGACTGTAACCATGCTGTAACTCAGTTTCCTCATCTGTAAAAACGAGATAATAGAAGCACCCACCTCATGGTTTTTTGTGAGTTTTAAATATAATAATCTGTATACAGTGTTGAGCAAAATGCCTGGCACATAGTAAGCACTCAATAGACGTTAGCTGAGATTGCTAGAGGTAGTTGTAAATCTCAATAGATCAATGCTAGTCAGTCATATGTAAACGACAGAGGGTATAATACCAAGTCAACAGGAATAAATCTTCAGGTGGATCTTCAAAAGGCTGAAGAGTAAGAAATGTGGGAAGATGAGTCGCAATTGTGGACAAGTATAACACAGAAAAAATAACTAAAGCTTGTAAATGAGATGGTTGATATACTCTGAGTTATCATTTATAAACAAGAAACAGATGACCAGACTTCTGCACAATCCTTCACCATCTTCGGAGCACTTTTCTGAGAGCCCTCTAAGAACGCCAGGACAGGCATCACTATCCCCAGTTTACAGACGAAAGAACTGAGGAAGAGAGAAGCTAAAAGACTCGCCCCACAGGACACCACAAGTACTAGAGGCAGGATTAGAACTATGACTGTAACTCTGAGGCAGGGCAGGGGAGCCCCCACATCGGGGCTCTGTCTGGGAAGGTTTTTGTTGTTGTTGTTTGTTTGTTTGTTTGTTTGTTTTTTTGAGACAGATTGTCAGTCTGTCGCCTAGGCTGGAGTGCAGTGGCACGATCTCAGCTCACTGCAGCCACTGCCTTCCAGGTTCAAACAATTCTCTGCCTCAGCCTCCCAAGGAGCTGGGATTACAGGTGCCCACCACCACACCCGGCAGATTTTTGTATTTTTAGTAGAGACGGGGTTTCACCATGTTGGCCAGGCTGGTCTTGAAATCCTGACCTCAGGCAATCCGCTTGCCTTGGCCTCCCAAAGTGCTGGGATTACAGGTGTGAGCCACCGCACCCAGCCGAAAACAGCTTTATTGAGATGGCAGTGTTGCAGCTCTGTGACTGCCCCTGCAGAACAGGATGAACCCACAGGCAGTGTTGAGAGTAGCAGCTCCAGGGCAGGTCCGTAGTCACATTTATACCCACTTTAAATTGCATGCAAATTAAGGGGTAAGTTATTCAGAAATTTCTAGAAAAAGAGTGGTGACTTCTGGGTGTTGCCATGGCTACAGTTAACTGTCATGGTGCACTGGTGGGTATGTCTTATGGGGAGGTGTTTTGCCTCTTCTCTGTTTCAGCCAGTCTTCAGTCTGGTCCGGAGTCAAGCCCTGCCCCCTACCTCAGCTTTTTCTGTGCAGAGAATGCTGGGCGTTACGGAAAAAAAACACCAAAACAGAACAGTAAGGAGCTTCCCTGCAGCAAAGCCAAAGTTGGTGGTACCTAGACCACTGCAAAAGCTATTCTAGGGGCCATGACTCAAGACACTGGAGGAGGACATCTAGATGGCAGGGAAGAGAAGAAGATAAAGTGAATATCGAGTTCTATGAGGCTGGAGAGGAGAGACAGATCCAAGAGAGATTTCCAGCTGTTAGGACTTGGGGACAAATCAGATCTCTGCTATGACAGCAACCCTTCCATTTTCCGGCAGGTCAAAATGTTTGATTTCAAATGCTTCTCCATGGTATCACTGAGGAATCACTTGTGGCCTCTAGTAACAGAGATCAGAGACCAGCGGCTTAAACACTGAGCTCATTGGGGCAGTCCTGGGCTGATATGGCGGCTCACGGGTTTTTAGGCACCCAGACTCCGTCCTTCTTTCTGCTCTAATGTTGGCTTCCATCTTCAAGGTCACCTCATATCCAAAACAGCTGCTGGAATACTAGCCATCATGTCTGTGTTTCAGAAAGGAAGCCAGAAAAAAGGCGAAAAGAGCAAAAAGGGTGTGTGCCAAATGTCTTAGAGTCTTCTAGGATGAAGGAAGCTGGGAAGTGTAGTCTTTTATCTAGGCATAGTACCACTGAAAAAAAAATAGGGTTATCATACTAAGAAGGAAGGAGAGGGTGGAAATTGGTATGACAACTATCGGTCTCAGCCATACCCATAGAGCCAGAATTTACAAAGAGATCTCTCTCCAAAGACTTTCTCTTTATAATCCCATGCTAATCACAGCTCAAATTTGGCCCAAATTAGATTATTTAGAGAAATGAATGTCCCCAGCTTAGATTGTGGTGGAGAGTAGGGTTAGGTACCACATTCACATCCTGTAATAGTTTGGGTTCTGGGTTACGAGCAACTCTGAATTTCACCAAAAAGGGGGTTTACTAGAAAGATACTGGGTAGTGGCCGAGTGTGGTGGCTCAAGCCTGTAATCCCAGCATTTTGGGAGGCTGAAGTGGGCAGATCACCTGAGGTCAGGAGTTTGAGACTAGCCTAGCCAGCAGGGTGAAACCCCGTCTCTACTAAAAATACAAAAATTATCCGGGCATGGTGGTGCACACCTATAATCCCAACTACTTGAGAGGCTGAAGCAGGAGAATTGCTTGAACCCAGGAGGCAGAGGTTGCAGTGAGCCGAGATGGCACCGTTGCACTCCAGCCTGGGTGACAGAGCAAGACTCCATCTCAAAAAAAAAAAAAAAGAAAAGAAAGAGAGAGAAAGACACTGAGTAGCTCAGAAATTCACCAGTGGGTTTAGAGACTAAAATCAATGCCCAAAATCTTGCCACAGTACTAGTCTGATGAAGCTACTGTGATTACTGTCACCTTCACTGGACCCTAGGTAAGTGCTGAGGCTCTCACTGCTGCCACCATCAACCCTGGGCATGGAATTCTGTTGCTAACTTATTGCCCTGCAATTTGATCTTGCTGCACCCGCTACTGCTACCAGAAAAGATTCTCCACGGTTCTTGCTTCTCGTGTCACTGACTCTGGTTAAAAGTCCAAGATGATTGCTTCTGATTGGTGGAGCCCAGGTCACATGGCCACATTCTAGCTGCAAGGGAAGCTGGAAGAGCAAATGTTTGGCATTTCCAGTTTCGTTGCAGAATAAGAACTCTGGGCTGGGCGCGGTGGCTCACGGCTGTAATCCCAGCACTTTGGGAGGCTGAGGCAGGTGGACCACGAGGTCAGGGGTTTGAGACCAGCCTGGTTAACATGGTGAAACCCCGTCTCTACTAAAAATACGAAAATTAGCTGGGTGTGGTGGCACATGCCTGTAGTCCCAGCTACTTGGGAGGCTGAGGCAGGAGAATCGCTTGAACCCAAGAGGCGGAGGTTGCAGTGAGCCAAGTTCGCGCCATTGCACTCCAGTCTGGGTGACCAAGCAAGATTCTGTCTCAAAAAAAAAAAAAACCACACACACACAAAACTCTGTCTTCCACTAGGACTCGTAAGTTGGGGAATTTCCCTAAATAGGAATCAAATTGAAATGTAGAACAGCCCACAAAATAATCACTGTCCATTATAAGACTGTAGATTGTTTCATGCGATCCTCACAACAATCCTCTGAAGTAGACCTTATGTTCCCATTTTTTGCATGAGAAAATGGAAGTTCAAAGAATGCAGTAACTTTCCCAAGGTCATTTAACTAGAAGGGCCAAGCTGTGCACCTCAGAGGACCAATAAGTACGGAATCTGGAAATGTCTTCTTGGGGTCAGATCCTGGTCGTGCCTCTGCAGCCCACATCCCTTTCCTTTCCTTGACCAGATGCCCCATGGCCATGGTCCCTGGCCCCCACCTGCTTTCTGGGTCATGGCCATGGTCCCTGGCCCCCACCTGCTTTCTGGGTCATGGCCATGGTCCCTGGCCCCCACCTGCTTTCTGGGTCATGGCCATGGTCCCTGGCCCCCACCTGCTTTCTGGGTCTTTGGGGAAGCTACCCTCAAGGTCATGTGCTCTCTGCCTTCCTCACATCCATCTGCCTTTCCACACATTTACAACAGCTTAATAGCTTAATAGTAATGGCTGCTGTGGGCGCCGACTGTTCATCATGTGATTCTAGCTTTGCCCTTGATTTTGACAAAGAGATGAAAGCCAAACTTCCAGGAGCCAGAAGAGAGGCTTCAGGGCCCTTGACCCAGGAGAAGCTGACATGGGGGCTGCTGGGACTCTGTTGGGAGAACACAGAAGTGGTTTTCAAAAAGACTTCAGGTTCCAAGTTCTCTGAGCTACAGACTATCGGAATCATACTCCGCCTTGGGAGAGCACTGGGTACTTTCAAATTTCTTCTGTGTGAATCCCAAGGCCATCCTCTTCTCTCCATCTCCACTGCTACCCTCCACCCTGAAGCCATCCCCTGCTGGCTCTTGCCTGGACCACACTGTGAGCCCCTCGCTGGCCTCCCTGTTTCACAATTGCCAACAGCTTTCTCTCTCTCCCACTGGGGATAACATTCAAAGTCCTTGCCCTGGCCCAGGAGGCCCGGCTTATGAACCCTAATGAGCTTTTCTCAGAGGCTCACCTGCTCTTCCGCTTTCCCCTCTAGCCTCCTTCACCTCCTCACTGGTCCTCAGAGACACCTACCTGGTTGACCCCCAGGATATGCACACATGCAGATCCCCTAACCCCACCCCCTGCCCCTGCACCCCACAAGATTGGCTTCTTCTCCCCACCCAGGTCTCTGCCCCAATGCTAACTCCTCAGAAAGGCCCCTCCTGCCCTGCATCCAAAAGAGGCCCCTCAATTAGCCGGGTATGGTGGCACACGCCTGTAATCCCAGCTACTCGGGAGGCTGAGGCAGGGGAATCGCTTGAACCCAGGAGGCGGAGGTTGCAGTCAGCCAAGATTGTGCCACTGCACTCCAGCCTGGGCAACAGAGCGAGACTCCATCTCAAAAACAAACAAACAAACAAACAAACAAAAGAGGCCCCTCCTACAGTCACTCAAATGCCACTTGATTTCCTCCTTGGCATTTTTCACCTTCTTAGATGGTCTTGCTTATGTCCTTGCCTGTTTGTGAACTGTACCCCACAAACAGAACATAAATTCCATGACAACAGAGGCTTTGCTGTCTTTCACCCCACTGTATTCCCACCAAGAATAGTAGCTGACACATAGTAGGTGCTCAATAAATATTTGTTGAAGGAATAAATACTCGACCAGATTGTCTTACAAAAGTATCATTGGGGCGGGGGGGGCTGTAAAACAGAACGCATGCCTTCTCAGGGCATCAGGATGGTGGCACCCATACCATCTGAGCCTGAAGGGGAACCTGAGACACAGCCCGAGGTGGCCAGCCAGGTGGTGATAGACAGTCCTGTATGGTTGCATCTTTCCATTGTTCCACACTGCCCGTAGCTGAACATGGCAGGAGAGACAAGGACATGGTGCGGGTGTCTTGCTTTTCCCTTGAGAGGCTAAGGAAAGGTTAATGCTGAGGGAGTCGTGATGTAGGGGCTGTGGGCAGCTGAAACCTGATAGGTAATGTTCTGCTGGATGAAACCCTCAGCTGAGCTACAAGAGGCACCTTGAACATGACTGACAGAAGTCAAGGCCTTCTAGAGGGCTGGCTGGAGGCATTACCAAGAACCTGTTCCTTCCCTCCCACTCCCCCAGGCCCTCCGAGAAAACTCTAAGAGTACAGATGACTCCTTGGGCCCTTGGAAAACTAGAAGAAAAAACCAGGCCCAGGTGTTTGAGGTGAGATGCTCTTAGCAGCCCTGGGTTCTGGGGATGCCCCCCAGCCTGGACCTGGGTAGCCCTTCCCAAGCCCTCTGAGGACCCCTTCCTTTCTTCCCTCCCATTCTCCATGGGCCATGGTAGCTCAAGCATTTTTGGGGCAGGGTTCACCTCCCTCTATCCAGGATCCCTTCCTCTGCTTGAGGCTGTAGTTTCATCTTTAAGAAAACCAGAATGCAGTGAACTTGGACTCCATCTTGGCCCTGGATAGCTGTGTGTTGTTGGGGAGGTCACCCAGCCTCTCCGAAGTTGCTCCCTCATTTGAAAAAATGATACACACCTTTCAGGGTAGTTGGAAGGATTCACTGAGACAATGCAAAAATTTCAGGAGTTAATAAATGTTCAGTGTGTGTAGGTTAAATGTGAATCAAAATCCCTCCTGTTTTCCTCCCATCATAAGCCTCTTTACTGAACAAAGGGAACCGAATATCTGGTCCAATGTCTGATGACAGCAGGAGGTGAGAGCAGGACCTTTGCCGAAGGCACATCGAGACTCTCTCAAGAGAACTGTCCAGCACAAAGAAAAATAAGGTTTACCCTTCAGGGTAAGCCCAAAATACACAAGCATATTAAAAAAGTGAAACACTCATGGGTGACAGATTCATAATGGGATTATTGATTCAAACACAGATCCTGTCTCCTCCCTGCATTTTCCAACCCCTCCCAAAAAATTGTTGCTGATGGCTGGATAGTGACTCGGGGAGGCAGCTAGCAAGGGAGAATGATTTGGCTGTAGCTGGTGCTACAAATGACCAGTAACCAAGGCAAAGTATAGAGACAGCATCCTCCCTCTTCCCTAATCACCCTCTTGGAGCTTTAGTGTCTTATTTGTGACAAGGGGGACAGAACTTCTGGCCTCTCACAGAAGTTGAGTGGATTAGAGGTGACAAGGGGCCTGGCACCCATTCACAATAGCAGTAAGAGCCACAATGTATTGAGTCCCCAGGGTCAGACACCATGCTAAGTGCTTTAAATATGTCACCTCCTCCCACCACTGGTCCAAGTTCCAGGAAGGCAAGGACCAGGTCTTTATTCCCCACCACACTGCCAGTCCCAAGTACAGTATCCTGCTGCATGGTAATAATAATAGTAAACATCATAGGAGCCTTCATTTGTAGCCTTTTTGTATACTCACAGTCTACACTGATTCACCATGTGCAGCACTGGATAGCTCTAATCTTCATGACACTTTCTTTCTTTTTTTTTTTTTTGAGATGGAGTCTGGCTCTGTTGCCCAGGCTTGAGTGCAGTAGCGCAGTCTCGGCTCACTGCAAGCTCCGCCTCCCAGGTTCACGCCATTCTCCTGCCTCAGCCTCCTGAGTAGCTGGGACTACAGGCGCCCGCCACCACGCCCGGCTAATTTTTTGTATTTTTAGTAGAGACGGGATTTCACTGTGTTAGCCAGGATGGCCTCGATCTCCTGACCTCATGATCCACCCACCTCAGCCTCCCAAAGTGCTGGGATTACAGGCGTGAGCCACCAGGCCCGGCCTTCATGACACTTCTTTTTTTTTTTTAATTTTTGAGACAGGGTCTCACTCTGTCGCCCAGGCTGGTGGTGCGATCTTGGCTCACTGCAACCTCTGCCTCCCAGGTTCAAGCGATTCTCCTGCCTCAGCCTCCTGAGTAGCTGGGATTATAGGTGTCCACCACCATGCCCAGCTAATTTTTGTATTTTTAGGAGAGACCAGGTTTCACCATGTTGACCAGGCTGGTCTTGAACTCCTGACCTCAAATGATCCACCCGCCTTGCCCTCCCAAAGTGCTGGAATTACAGGTGTGAGCCACCACACCTGGCCCTTTATGATAATTCTAAGGAGTGGGGTCCTACTATGATCCCCATTTTATGGATGAAGAAACTGAGGCACAGAGGGCACAAAGAGGTTAGATAATATTCCCAAAGTCACCAAGCAAGTGATAGAGTGGGCATCTGAACCCAGGCAGTCTGGCTCTAGAGACCAGGCCCTTGTCCTCTATGCTAACTCAGGGGGTCAAGGGATGCTCACAACCCCATTATCGGGCTATTTTCTAGGTAAAGCAATCGATGTTAAGAGAGAAGAGAAATGATGAGCTCAGAGAAGGCCCAGGTTTGGACTCAGTGTGACCAAACTAAATGCCTCTGAAAGGGTTCACTTCACTCCCCACACCCCTGGCCCAAGCTGTGGGGATCTGCATTTCCTTGTAGGGTCCCCCGTTATGGTCCACAAATGTCTTTTTTTTTTTTTTTTGAGATGGAGTCTCCCTCTGTCATTCAGGCTGGAGTGCAATGGCGCGATCTTGGCTCACTGCAACCTCCTCCTCCTGGGTTCAAGCAGTTCTCTCACTTGAGCCTCCGGAGTAGCACACGCCACCACACCTGGCTAATTTTCGTATTTTTAGTAGAGACAGGGTTTCACCATGTTCGCCAGGCTGGTCTCAAACTCCTGACCTCAAGTGATCCGCCTCCCTCAGCCTCCCAAAGTGCTGGGATTACAGGCGTGAGCCACCACGCCCGGCCACAAATGTCTTAAGTCTGGGTCCAGCCCAAGCTGGGCAGCTGGGGAGCAGTAACAGTGACACCTCAAAAGCTCAGAGACAGCCCCGTAGCCAGGAGTCTGTCAAGGAGTCCAGCTCCCAGGGTGGAGCTGGCCGCAGGTGGAAGCTGAGTCCTCCCTTCACCTTCAGCCTCTGGCAAGGGTTTTTCTCAGGGGGCCTGGGGTTGTCCCGGTCTCCAACCTCCTACAGCAGGATGGCGACTATCTCTCTGATATTGGGAACTGGCAGCTTCAGACATGGGGTTTGGTCAAGAGATTTTTCATCCTCATCTGGCAAGAGCCAACTTCATCACTCACACACTTGTTTTCCATCACTCACGTTTGCCCATCAGCTGGCATCTGGCTCATCGTGGATGTCTCATGATAAGTCAGGGACATGACAGATGCCATTAACATAACATCCTCATCCATCCTCCCAGGGTGGGCTGGCATGGAGAGTGGGCTGAGAGAGGGATGGAGTCAAAAGAAAACAGCTTCTGACATCAGACTCATGCGCTGACTCATCTGACCTCTGATGCTTACTAGCTAGGTAACCTCTTAGGCAACATAAGTTTGTGTATCCATTAAATGGGGACAGAAATTCTTTTCTGGCAGGTGAGTCTACTGCTTTGCACAACTCCAGAGGGCACCATTCACATTGTTGTCTACGTGAGTGGTGTTACTTGGGACCCACCTCCATAGAATATAAGGTGAAGAATGCCTTGAGATTGTGTCACCAGAGATGACACCATGTAAGGGGCCTGGGATGATGTAGGCACACAGTAGGCACGGCCTTATTATGGGATACAGAGGCACCACTCTCCCAGATATCTCCTGCACCATGAGATGCCCCTACCTAATTCCAGCTGTTATGTGGACCAAACCAATGGGAGTGGAGACCCTCCTCACAACAGCCCTGCTAGCAAGGTCTAGGTTCCACATCCTGAGGTGCCTCCTCTTACCTCTCAGGCTGGCCCCATGGCAGCCACGAGGGTACCAGACACCTTGGCAATAGGCCAGGTATGGCTAGGGGGTTTCCTTCCATTTGGGGGTTTGCACCTGACTGGCTAAGAAATCCTGGATGGAATCTTCCCAGCCTGGTTTTCCAATCTCTGCTTAAAGCAATGGACCTAGTCCTTATCTCCCCATAGGGTGCCTTCAATTCAAGGAACCTACCATGAACTGACCATATGCTAGGCGCAGTGAAGAAGGGAGCCTCAAGGTCGATAAGATAGTTCCCAGCCCCAAGAAGGTCACAGAAGAGTTAGCTGAGGTGGTGGAGTGCAGGGGAAAGCAGCTTACCTTTTAATTTCCTCTCACCCGCTTCCTCCTTCCTCTCCCTCCACATCAACAATCCCTTCCTCTTCATTCTGTTTGCTCAATGAACTCTGAAGTATAGCAGGGCCCTTGCCTTGTCTGATTTACTGCGGAACCCCTGGCTACCAGGTCGGAGCTAGTAGCTCAATACATATTAGTCGAATGAATTGGGTGGAAGAATCAAGTCCTCCCATGAAAGTTGGGCATGCTTCATGCTTACTCTAGGAAGAGGTTTGGATGTCCATGGTTGTTCTCCAAAAGTAATCATCACTGTTCCTCTTTCCCACCAGGGACCCCTCTTTCTGACCCATTTATCATTCATTCATTGGGCCAATATGTGTTGAGTAGCTCTTCCGAACTAGGCATTATACCTTGTGCTGGGGAAGCAAACTTTCCCTACCCCTACATCACCCTCTGCACACCTTGGCCTGATCTTTTCCCAGCTTACCACCACACACACTGCCCCAGCACTTACCTCTCCCTTGTTCAACCGTTTACACAGAGGTGCCATATTCAGGCCGCCCTGATGCTGCCAACCTGCATAGGAGTTGAGGGAAGGAGGTCTCCCAGTCTCTCACCTCTGCCCTTAGCCCATCCTTCCACCTGACCTCAGGGACCTGTCCCTGCCAGAATCTGCCCAGAGCCCCAAGCCACTCTGCCTCCCGGAACAGCCCTGAACCTGAACCTGGTTGTCTCACTTCGGCCCCTGGGGTCCCTGCCCATGGGCATCCTGCAGAGCCCACCCGGTGCTCCACCCCCAGCACCCTGGCCATTCGACATTGCCTGCGGCGGGAGCTGCCAGCTTTTTGGAATTCCTAATCGCTCCTGGCCCCGGTGATTGGCTGCTCAGCTCTGACCCCACTTGGGCTGCCGCCTGGTTGGATAAAAGGGGAATCTCCTTGGGCTCCAGAGCATTAGACACCGGAGGGGGCACCTGGGACCAACTTCGCGAAGCGGGAAGCCCGGCGGGGGGGTGGGGGGAGCTAAAGACCTGCGGCCTCAGCCCCTCCAAAGAACAGGGAGATGACGGGGAAAGCAGGGGAAGCGCTGAGCAAGCCCAAATCCGAGACAGTGGCCAAGAGTACCTCGGGGGGCGCCCCGGCCAGGTGCACTGGGTTCGGCATCCAGGAGATCCTGGGCTTGAACAAGGAGCCCCCGAGCTCCCACCCGCGGGCAGCGCTCGACGGCCTGGCCCCCGGGCACTTGCTGGCGGCGCGCTCAGTGCTCAGCCCCGCGGGGGTGGGCGGCATGGGGCTTCTGGGGCCCGGGGGGCTCCCTGGCTTCTACACGCAGCCCACCTTCCTGGAAGTGCTGTCCGACCCGCAGAGCGTCCACTTGCAGCCATTGGGCAGAGCATCGGGGCCGCTGGACACCAGCCAGACGGCCAGCTCGGGTAGGTGAGGAGAGGTTGCGCTGCTGCCTGACTGGGGGGCGACAGCCGGGAGCCCCGCGCCGTCGGCTCTCGCTTGCTGGACCAGGCCTCCAGGCGGAAAAGTTCCTGCCAGGCCGGGGGTCGCCGCCTGGGCCTTGGGCCGACGCGCCTGGTGATGGGGCCCGGGAGGATGCTTCGGCGTCCGCAGGGTTTCGGCCCCAAGCGTTTCGGGCGGCCGCGCAGTTCTCCAGTCCCCGCGTCGGGCAGGGCTCGGCCACGGCACTCTGTTGGAGCCCCACTGAAAACTGGGTTTGGGGTGTCGGAGCCCGTGGTGCAGAGTCGCCGGCCGTGTCGGAGGGCCCCAGCACCGCTGCTCCACTGCGGCCCCGGCCTGGTGTAGGATCCGCACTCCTCGAGCCCGATGCTGTTCCGGCTCCGGCCCCATCCCTGGTGTCCAAAGTTGTCTGATTCCCAAATCCCGCGCTGGTCAACTGGGGTTTATTTTTCACCCCCACGAGCTCAGACAACCCGGCCATCGCGGCAGCTAAAGCGGCCGCCATCCTCTCCCACGTAAGCGCCACTATATACTGGAGCCCGGGGACGCGCGGGCTCGGGGACCCTGGGTGACCTCTCCGCCTTCTCCCCGCGCTGCTTTCCGGGAGGTGTGTCGCGGCCCGCTCGAACCTCCGATTCCTGTTTGAGCTTGGCAATTCCCCCGATTTTTCGTTGCGTTTTACTTTGTTTTACGTGGAAAGGCAACGAAAACCAGCGCGTCGCAGGCTCTCGGGCCTCGAGTAGGGACGCATTGTGCCGCCTTGCGAAAAGGACGGTGCTCGGCAGCCCCCAGTCTTCCCGGAGCCCAGCTCCCCACGCCTCCGCTCCGCTCCTCGCTCCTCGAGGCCAACTTTCCGGCCCGGGGCATTGGGGCTGGCCGCGCAGGGCAGGGCGCAGCAGGGTCGCGAGCGCTGCCGGGGATCTCTGCGGCCCCCTAAGGCTGCCTCGCTCTCCGTCGTCCCGGTCCCAAGCGCGCCGGGGCCTTTGCCTCTCTTACAACGAAATCTGTTCAAAACCTCCGGATTCGGGCCCCGGCGCGGGAGAGGTCAGCCTGAGCTCAGGGATGGGACGGCCACCGGGGCGCCCGCAGGCTTCCTGGGGAGACAGAGCAGGTCCCCGCCGCTCGCGGAGGCAGCCCGGGGTGGGGCCCTCGCGGGTTTCGGGCACAGCGGAGCGCGTCCCCCACTCTGCCGCATGTCCCTACGCCCGCTTTTCAGATTCTGAAGATGTTTCCTCCAGCGATCGAAAAATGTCCAAATCTGCTTTAAACCAGACCAAGAAACGGAAGAAGCGGCGACACAGGTGAGGCCCCCGCTTTCTGTTACCTCTCCTGCCCGCGCACCCCGCTGCCGTCCCCCGTTCCGGGATCGGGTCTCTCGGACCCTATTTTCGCCGACAACGGATCTGAGGTCCGAGGCCGTGCCAGGGCGCAGACCACGGGTTGTTTGGCGGAATCTGCCCGGGGGCCTTGGCGTCGGCACCGGTTGAGCAGGATGAGTGGCCGCCGGGAAAGCGGCCCGGTTCGGGCTTTCTCCTCCTTGTTCAGGAGAAAGGAAAGGCTCCAACACAGGCCAAACTGAGCCACAGAGTGGGGGCGGTCCCCAGATCCCCGCACCAGTACATTCTGAGAGCCACACAGACCCGGCGGCGGGCAGATTAGCTCCCACCTCCTGCCAGAGCCGGTTCTTTGCCCTCGGCCTCAACCGCCGCCCCCATTTCTCTCCCGGGGTCCCTGTCCTCTCTGCCAACTCCCTAAGCTTTCTGCTCCCACCGTTCTCCAAAGCTGGAGCGATCTCTGCACTGACAGAGCATTTTCTTTTGGCTTCTGCTCATTCGTGATTCTGACCGAGTCGCTTCCCTTCTGTGAGCCTCAGTTTCCTCGTCTGCAAAATGGAGTGGTAGGCGATGTAGACTGGACGGTCCCACCAGCCGTAGCTGGAGTAGGGTGGACTGCATCGGGGTACAGACTAGAAAGGGTTTTGTTTTGTTTTGTTTTGTTTTGTTTTTGTCTTTAAATGGAAATTACTTGCACAAAGTTAAAACTCAGTAGATGCCGACAGGTATATCTTGAAAAGTAACCTACCCTTCTCCCACCCCCGCCCTCATTCCCTTCCGCACCAGCCGCACTGCTACCAGTTCCTTGGGTACATTTGTAAGGTGGTTTTCAAGGAAATAAAGGAGAAAGAACCAAAAATCTGCCTGCCTTTCTGCGGGTGCTGCTCGCAGGTGCTGCCCCGGCGCTCACCTCGGAGCTATTTCCCCGCACCCCACTCCGTCCCCATCAGGTGGGGCCGCCACAGACTCTGCGCCCTTTCAAGACATTTCTCCACTAGGGCGTTCTCTGGCACCCCCGCCGCCACATCGTTTTCTCCCACCCTAATTTGTTTTCAGCCTCTTTGCACCCTCTCTGCGCTTTTCTATGCTTCGTTCTTCCTTGGCCCTGGGAAACTCCACTGTTGACCGCCACCTTTTAAAACGGCCTATCCTCACCCCTTAGGCCCTAATAGGTTTTGGCTTGAATGCAGGTGAACTTCGACTTGGTTTCTCCGGATCTCGGTCTATTCTTTTTCCGGCAGCTGTTTGCATTTGTTTAGTTTGTATTGTTTTATTTTAAAAGGAAAAAGAAAAATTTTTTTGGTCTTGATCTTTGGTCTTTTTTTTTTTTTTTTACATTCAATTCATTCAACGAATATTCATTAAAACACTTTTTATGCACCCATCTTACGCGGGTCCCAGGGTGGGTAATCTTGTCATCTTCCCCAGGCAGGGACAGGGACCTTGCAGGGAGGGCAGGTCAGAGACCGGCAAAACTGCCCTTGTGCTGGTGCCAGGAGGGGTGGGAGGGGTTCCCACAGCATGGAGAGCCCTGGAAAAAGCATCCCCAAACCCTGGGTACAGGAATGGCATTTCCGCATCAGGACATCTCACTGCATGGCACTTAGTGACCGTCTGTTTTCATCTGTCACTCTCTTCGCCAGGAACACCTTTGGGGGTTTTGGTGGGTTTTCATGGGGGCAGAACAGCAACTCACCAACACTCGGGTATTAACTGCCTGGGGTTTCTATTTCTGTTGCATGAAGGGAGAAGGTTATTGGAGAGAGGAGAATGGCTACGGATTTCAAGTGCTTGTTTTAATTAGGAAAAAATACATTTTACTCGAGCTTCTGTCATTTGGGGATTTGGGGTAAGAGACCCTGGAATCTGGTGATGAGAGATGGGCTTATTTTTATCTCCCAGAAACAAACCAGACTTAAAAGCGTTTGGGGGGTGGCGTGGGGACAAAGCAGCCACGGTGAGAGTCTCTCTGATTTTGCTCTTTCTCTCTACTGGGAAAGCTCAGCTCCTCTTCAGACTGGACACAACAGGAGCCTGAAGGGTCTGGGGTTCTGCATAAACCAGGAACACAGGCTGGGTCACATTATGGGGGAAGTGTGTCAGCTCTGAGGCATGAATTAGGGAAAGTTTGGGAGATTTGAGTTTTTGTTTTGTTTTTTGAAGAGGGGCTCTCCGAAGTAGGGACTGAGACTTGAATGGTTCTACATGACCTATAATCGGCTCTCCTCTTTGACTGCCTTTGTGCCTCAGTTTCCCTGGTTTTGGAAAGGACTTGAATTTCTTTATTGTTTATTTTGATGCTCTGTCCATGGGCCCTTCAGCAGATGGCAGAAGCGAAAAAGCAGCAGATCTTCAAAATTCTCAAGAATTAACTTCGTGTGTGCATAAGCATTTCACATCATCACCCCCCACCCCCAGAGAATAGGAGAAACGATTTAGAATCAAACCAGTCATTTTCTGCAAAGAGCACAATCTTTCTTCCCTGAATTATCCCCCGAGATATTAAAGTGGACACCAGCACAAGGATTGTGTGAGGTTCAAATCTGTACTTTTGGGTTGTGTTAGACGAGGGTGAGGGCCCAGCAATAAGGGATTCTACACCCCTGTGCTGGCGCCAGAGTCTGATCCCAGGGGACCAGGCAAGGGCTGGACCATTTCTACCAGTTCAGTTTGTGGACGCTGGACTATATTGCCTGTTGGCTTGTTAATGAGGTTTCAGGATAAAGACCACCCAAAACCTGGTGAAATTAAGGTTTGAAAAGAGAAGAGTTTGTGTCTGGAAGTAGGTGTTTAGCGGTTTATTCAAGAAAGAGGACCTATGAATCCCCTAATGTTGGAGGCAAAATTTTACAAATTGGGGCCTATTTATTTGCCCATTTTCCTAAGGTGAGAGAATGTAGTTTTTACCAGATTCTTAAAGCAGTTTATAACACAAAATAGATCCATATGAACTGCTCTGTTGGGGGTGGGGAACTGTGCCTGTGGGCTCTCAGGGTGGCCCGAATGGAACCCCCTGCAGGTGAGTGGCTGAGCTTGCAAGTATGGGATGGTTGGAAGGTGGCCCTTCCCTTGTCAGCACAGAATAGGACTGGAAAAGGCTCGGGGCAGTGCTGGGAGGCTGGTAGGTCTGGGTGATGTCGAGGAAGGGCAGGGGAGGAGGAAGGGGTGCTGGGGGGAGTTGAGGGAGTGGGAGATTCAGTTCTCTGCTGTATAAACACTGAGGTTGAGGCTGCATTTGACCTTCCGGTGAATCTTCTAACTTTGAAAGGCATTCAAAAATTCAGCTCTAGTGACTGTGAGAGGGGCCCAGGAAGCTGGTCTGGGTGGAGCTGGGCTATTTAGTAATCTGGTAAGCCCCTCTTCTCTGTGCTTGGGAGGAAGAGGGGCTTTCTGCTTTTCTAGAATGTCCTTCTTCTGGGACAGCCTTTCCCCCAGAGCACCTCCAGAAAGATTCCCAGTGTGAAATGTCACTGAGGGCTGAAATAATGGCCACCCCCCAAACACAGGAAGGGTAGTGTGAGCCCTCAGCCTTGAGGAAGAAGAGTCCGGAGGGTTAAACTATGAGACAGAGAGAGAGAGAAAGTGTGTGTGTGTGTGTGTGTGTGTGTGTGTGTGTGTGTGTGTGTGTGTGAAAGAGAGAGAGAAAGTGTGTGTGTGTGTGTGTGTGTGTGTGTGTGTGTGTGAGAGAGAGAGAGAGAGAGAGAGAGACAGAGAGAGAGAGAGAGAGAGAATTTGTGTCCTATTGTGCTGAGCCAGCCTGGGTTCGGGGCCTGCCCAGGAGACACAGAGGAAGGCGGTTCTGTCTTGTCTGAGACAGGCTCTTTTAGTTTCTGGGGTCCTGAGTGTTCGGTCTTGCTCCCCTCAGGACAATCTTTACCTCCTACCAGCTAGAGGAGCTGGAGAAGGCATTCAACGAAGCCCACTACCCAGACGTCTATGCCCGGGAGATGCTGGCCATGAAAACGGAGCTGCCGGAAGACAGGATACAGGTAACAGCCCTGAGCCCCTCTCCCCTCCACTCTCCCCTCTCTCGGTGACATCTACCACTCCAGGGTTCCAGATGCCCATGACCCCGCCTCCCAGCCCCACTGTGGGCATGTGCTTGCCTATGATCATGTTCTCAGCCTATTTAAGCTGAACACCTGCCACATGAGGTGGGTGCTGTCGGGGGATGAGAAGCACCCAGTTGTGACCTGGCTGTTGTTCCAGACTATAGGCTTCCCGGGGAGTATGTCAGACAGACCCTGCGGGGGTCTGGGGATGAGAGGTGGAGTACTGGAGGGGCCCCCGGTCCTGGGCAGGGTCTCTGTTGAGGCGGAGGTCCCTTTGGTACAGCTAAATGTCTGTTCCAAGGCCAGAGGGTGCCCCAGGCCTCTGGGTAGCTGTGAAGAGGAAGGTGGCTTCTAGTCCTGACCCCAGTCTGTTTCCCTCCCCTCTCCTCCCCTCCCCATGATGAAAGTGTTACCCCTTCTCTTCCTGCTTCCCACCACTCCATCCACCTAAGGCTCCTTCCTCCCACACACAGCCCAGCAACTGCTGCCCTGACCTGCTGCTCCTTTTCTTCTCCCAGGTTTGGCCTAGGATGTGAGCTGGGGCATGGCCCTGCAGGTGGCTCACTAAGCCCTCCTCCTCTCCTGGGCAGTTTTGTGGCATAACTAGCCACTGATCTGGGCATGTGGTAGGCATGGGGCCTCCACTTAGCGGCAGCAGGACCTTGGCAAGTCCAGAGTCCCCTACTTGGGCAGGAGTAGGGCTGTGGAATCATTTCTCTGGGGGAGGATGGAGTCTGGGCAGGGCCTCCATGAGGCAGAAGGAGTGGGGTGGGAGGAACATTTCCAGAAGATTTGGGGTTGTCTTAGCTGGTGCTCAACCTTCAATGAAAGCTGCTCCCATCGCCTGAGCGGTCCAGAGCTAGTTCATTGCGGAGGCTGGGGTGTGTGGGCCAGGGGCTGGTCCTGACTTCCTGGAACTGCTCTGCTCTGCGTCTCCTCCCCAGTCTAGGTTCCTTGTATCTCCAGGTGTGATGTGTGCCTGGGAGGCCGGGGGAGCCAAGTAAGGTGTGTGGGTTGCTCTGTACTCTCTCACTGGAGGACCAGAGAATGTGAAATGAGGCTGTGAGGCCTTCCTCTCCCCTGGAAATCTATTTGGAATTTCAGCCGATGGTTTTAGACATTGACACTAACAATAAGCTCAATTATTCATAAGCAGATTATGTTTGGTGCATTATCCATGGGGGCCTGGACCCATTACCCTCCACCCAATTGGGTTCTTGTGAGGTAAGCTGGGCGTTGATGTTGAATTGTGTGTGTGCACGTGTGTGCGTGTGTGTAAGCCAAGCCTTAAACTGCACGGCAGTAACCCCTGCCTGGCCTTCATTAGCATAAAGTTGGCCATTCCAGGTGGCTGCGGCAGGGAGGAGCAATGACAAATCCCCGCTGTTGGCAGGCCCCACATTTGCGGTATTGACCAGAATGAAGGAATAGCTTGTCTCTTGCAGTGGGTTGTCCTGAAATCTGCTTGGTAGATTAGGTGGGGGAGGGTGGATGAGGTGTTTGAAACCTGCTGAGCTCAGGATTTGGGGGCAGGCTCTCCCTCAGCTGTAACTGCATTGCTACGAATGCCCCAACAGGCACATTTAACTTAACAGGGCTTTGTTAAGTTGCTTGGGGGTTGCCTATAAGGTGGTATCTGAGGGCACCAGAACCAGCAGGAAGGAGCTTGGGGTGTGGGATGAGGAGAGCTCATCGCCCTGGGACTGTGAGGATTGGCTCTGCAATTTGTGGATATCGGAGAAATGAGGAAAGAGTCTCAGAGCCTTTGAGCACCACATGCCTGAATGCTACCCCCAGAAGCTGTCTGTGAGTTGTCAAGTCCTCTTGCCCCAGTTCAGTAAAGTGGCCTGGGAAAGATCTTGGTGTGCATCAATAGCAGTCACAGCGATCGTTTCCAGAGGAGTTTCCATGTGCCAGGTGTTCTCCTGAGTTCACGATGTACACAGGACAGGCAGGGTGGTACCATGGTTAGGGTCACTGACTCTGGGGCCAGACTGGCTGGGCTCCTGGCCGGGCTTCACATGCCAGAGCCTCTCAGTCTTCATCTGTACAATGGGGGTGACAGTGGCAC
This sequence comes from Homo sapiens, assembly GCF_000001405.40. NCBI lineage: Eukaryota > Metazoa > Chordata > Mammalia > Primates > Hominidae > Homo > Homo sapiens. The sequence goes on from NC_000014.9 coordinate 74,247,423, forward strand.
CTGCCTCTTGTGTGGAGGTAATGAGCCATATGTGTGCAGCATTCAGGGCAGTGCCTGGCACGTGCCCCCAGCTCACTCGGTGTCAGATCTGATCTTATTAAGTCCTGGTGACAATCAGGGGCTGAAGACCATGAATTTCCTTTGAGAACTGAGGCAGCTGAGGCACAGCCTCTTGCCCAGGCCCCACAGCTAGTAAGTGGGAGACACAAGACTCAAACCTAACTCTGAATCGAAAGCCCACAGTGGCACTGCCCACCTCTTCTGTTTGAAGTCTTTGCTTTGACTTGAAGCTGGGGGAGCATAGGTGATTTGAAGTCAGGCGGGGGACCTGTATCACAGTAAAGTTAATCAATGTTTATTGAGTACCAGGCACTGTTTAAAAAAAAAAAAACAGCCCAAAACTCACTTATATAACAAAATTATTTTTGAATGGGCAAATTCTGTACATGAATTCAAGAGGGTGAAAAGCAAGTCCTCGCCCTCCCTCGACCAGCAGCCCACCTGTGTCTTTCATTTCCTCACAGAGCTAGTTCATGTATATTCAGCAGAGTCCTCAGAACACCCATGAGCTAGGGGCTATTACTCTCATTTGACAGATGGGGAACCTGAGGCACAGACAGAGGCCAGAGTTGAGTCTCTTTAGACTCCAAAACCCTTGCTTTTCTACCTTGACTTCCCTCCCCATCATTTCCCCTCCACGTGTTGGCCGCCACTCCTGAGCCAGCCCCCTCCCAGCCTAGCTTTGGGTCAGAGGACTCTGCAGGTGAGACGAGCAGGAAAGGGGAAGTTATTACTGGCTCCAAGTCTGGAGTTAGAAATTCTCGGCCACGCAGTGGCTCAGGCCTGTAATCCTAGCACTTTGGGAATCTGAGGTGGGAGGATTGCTTGAGCCCAGCAGTTTGAGACCAGGCTAAAAAAAAAAAAAAAAACAAAAAAAACCAAAAACGAGACCCTGTCTTGGAAGAAAAGAAAAGAAATTCCTGGCCAGGTGCAGGGGCTCATGCCGGTAATCTCAGCCCTTTGGGAGGCTGAGGTGGAAGAATTCCTTGAGTCCAGGAGTTTGAGCCCAGCCTGGACAACATAGTGAAATCCCCATCTCTACAAAAAAAAATTTAAAAATTAGCCGAGCATGGTGATGTAAGCCTGTGGTCCCAGCTACTCAAGAAGCTGAGATGGGAGGACCACTTGAGCCCAAGAGGTAGAGGCTACAGTGAGCTGTAATCGCACCACTGCACTCTAGCCTGGGTGACAGAGTGAGACTCTGTCTCAAAAACAAACGAACAAAAAAAAAAAACAGAGAGAAATTATCAAGTTGGAATGGAAAGGTTATTGAACTGGAGATCAGGAACCCGGATTTTAGCTCCAACTGACATCTGGTGTGGCAGAGGCTAGGCCACTTCCCATCTGTGAGCCTCAGTTTCCCCATCTGTAGAAGAAAGAGGTGAGATCCCTTCCAGGGAGGTGCCTCCTGAGTATTCCCCCACCACAAGCCCCTGGGCTGCCATTGGTAGAATGGGGGTGCAGGGCAGGTTAAGTTTAACAGGCCCAGATGGACCGCTGGAGCATACACCCCTGCTGGGCCAAGCCAAGAAACCCCTGCATGTCTGAAGTCTACTGTCTGATGTCTGATGAGAACCTGCGATGTAGACGCGGAAAGGCAGACACACCTACTTCCAGTCTTTGTTTCACTGCCAGCAAGCCAAACCCTGAGTCTGAAATTACTCATTTGTAAGATAATAATATTTTTTCATAATGCTAACTTAATAAAAACAGTGTTGTTACTGGCATTTATTAAGTACTCACCATTGTCCCAGATATTAAGTGCTTTCCATACCTCGTTTCTTCTCTTTTTCTTCTTTTTTTTTAGAGACAGGGTCTCACTGTGTCACCCAGTCTGGAGTGCAGTGGTGTGATCTCGGCTCACCGAAGCCTCTGCCTCCCAGGCTTAAGCAATTCTCCTGCCTCAGCCTCTTGAGTAGCTGGGACTACAGGTGCCCACCACCATGCCTGGCTAATTTTTGTATTTTTAGAGAGACGAGTTTTTGCCACGTTGGCCAGGCTGGTCTCGAACTCCTGACCTCAAATGATGCACCCACCTCAGCCTCCCAAAGTGCTGGGATTACAGGTGTAAACCACCATGCCCGGCATGCTTCATTTCATTTAATCCGTAACAGACAAATTAGTTAGCTGTCATTCCTACACCCATTTTCTAGATGAAGAAACTGAGGGGCTGAGAGGTAAAGTAAGACTGGGATTCAAACCCAGTACTCAGCTACCGTGACATGAGATCCTATGAGATAGACATGAATGCCTCTCTATACAAACTGTAATAATGCAAAGAACAGTGATGACAAACCAGTCCCAGCAGAAAGGCATGATGATTTCCTCTGCCTTTGTGTTTGGAGAGTAAACACGTCCTCACTCCACATCGCTCTGGGCTGGAGGTGGAGGATTATGGTGCAGTGTTGGGGAAAGAAAAGCTTCTATGTCTCCACATCAGACTCAGGCACACCGTCTTCTTTGTGTCTTAAATAAATAAATAAATAAAACGCTGGTGCCTGTGATCCCAGCATTTTGGGAGCCTAAGGTCGGAGGGTCACTTGAGGCCAGGAGTTTGAGACCAGCCTGGGAAACATGGCAAAACCTCATCTCCACAAAAAATACAAGAATTAACAGGTGTGGTGACACATGCTGGTCCCAGCTACTTGGGAGGCTGAGGTGGGAGGATTACTTGAGTCCAGGAGGTCAAGGCTGCAGTGAGCTGTGATCGTGCTACTGCACCTCAGCCTGGGTGACACAGCAGAATCCTGTTTCAAAAAAAAAAAAATTTTTTTTTTTAAATGCTAGGATATGGCATTCTGGAAGTCCCTGCCAGCTATCAGCCCTGGGGAAGAGAAGGTGGGTTTCCAGACTGACTTAATTTCCTCTGAGGGGTCACTTGTTACTAGAATTGTGAGGGCAGGCTACATATATATTCATGTGTTTATTTTTTTTTCTAAGATGTGCTTGTTATAAAATGCAAACATTACAGAACTATGAATGTTCGAAGTAAACAGAGACTACATTTCACCCCTCTTAGAAGTCTCGTGTATGTTGAAGGCTGAGGTTTAGATTCTCTGCCGAGCACTGTGTGACTTTGCCTCTTCTAAAGTGGCCCCTGCCTAAGGGTAGGGAACAAAGTATTAGTGGGTCATATTCCAGAATTAAGAAGATGGGTGCTTGAGTAGGGAAGGGTTTGTACAGATCTCATCTCAGGATGGTTATTAGAATCACCAGGGCAGATTTTTTTTTTCTCGGCTCATTGCAACCTCCGCCTTCTGGGTTCAAGCAATTCTCCTGCCTCAGCCTCCAGAGTAGCTGGGACTACAGGTGCGCACCACCACGACTGGCTAATTTTTGTATTTTTAGTAGAGACAGGGTTTCACCGTGTTAGCCAGGATAGTCTCGATCTCTTGACCTCGTGATCTGCCCGCCTCGGCCTCCCAAAATGCTGAGATTACAGGCGTGAGCCACCGCGCCAAACCCCAGGGCAGATTTTTAAAATGCCCATGCGCTCCCCCGGCCAACACCCAGCAATTCCGATTTAATTGGTTTAAAATCAAACATCTTCGGCAGGTCACAGTGGCTCACGTCCGTAATCCCAGCACTTTGGGAGGCCGAGGCGGGTGGATCACTTGAGGTCAGGAGTTCGAGACCAGCCCGACCAACATGATGAAACCTCGTCTCTACTAAAAATACAAAATTACGCCGGGTACGGTGGCTCACACCTGTAATCCCAGCACTTTGGGAGGCCAAGGTGGGCAGATCACCTGAGTTCAGGAGTTCAAAACCAGCCTGGCGAATATGGTGAAACCCCGTCTCTACTAAAAATACAAAAATTAGCCGGGCATGATGGCGGATGCCTGTAATCCCAGCTACTCAGGAGGCTGAGGCGGAAGAATAGCTTGAACCCGGGAGGCGGAGGTTGCAGTGAGCCGAGATCGCGCCATTGCACTCCAGCCTGGGCAACAAGAGCGAAACTCTGTCTCAAAAAAGCAACAAAAACAACAACAAAAAATCAAACCTCTTCACGTTGGCATTTGTATGCTTTTAAATCTCTCTAGGTGATTCTGTGTGCAGTGAATGTAAACACACTGGGTTGGAGGCTCAGGAGAGGGTTGTTTCTGTTCTGAGTGGGTTAATATGAGTGGAAGAAAGTGGCGTTTTGGGTGGCAGGGGTTTGGGGTGAGGAAGGAAATGGAATGTCAGTGCTCAGGCAAGAGGCTGTCTGGAAATGTGGTCGGAGCTGCCCCCTAGTGGGTAACAGAGGCTGCAGCAAGACTCCACTTGTCTGAGCCTTAGGCTGGGCTGCACAGAGCGCGCTGCAATAAACCGCGGGCGAAGTGCTGAGTGGGTGCAGAGTGTGAAGCCCTTAAGTCACGCCAGCGATGAGCCCAAATTCATCAGCTTCCAGCCAGAGGGGAAGAAAGAGACTGGGGGAAAGTGATGGACGCTCACCTGATGGCATGTGGCAAGATGGCAGGGCAGGGCCTGAGGTAGCGAGGAGACCAGAATGTGCAAAGGGCATCTGTCATGCACAATGTCTCCTTCAGGAGGTATTTAGGAGGGCGATCCTGGAAGGACTGCAGAGGGTCTCCTGGGAGATGATTGAGGGATGGAACCCTGGGCATGTTTTCTGGTGGCGATGCCAGGGCGGGAGCTTGCAGGACAGCAGCTATGTGATGATGCAGAGACAAGAGGAGGTGTGAGGCATGGCCTCGGCTGTTCCTGCTGATTGCCCACGTCGAGAAAGAGCTGACAGGGTTTCCTGGCCTGCTAGCTGTGCCTTTGCATCCACTTGGCAAGAAGTCCTTCCCTGGGCCCAGTCTTTCCTTCGAGGCACAGGCACATTCTGTGCCTGCTGTGGAGGCACCTGCCAGACAACTGTGGACAGCCACAGTCTTTCCACACAACCTGGGCTTTCTTTTCTTTCTTTTTTTTTTTTTTGAGATGCAGTCTCCCTCTGTTGCCCAGGCTGGAGTGCAGGGGCACGATCTCGGCTCACTGCAACCTCTGCCTCCCGAGTTCAAGCGATTCTCCTGCCTCATCCTCCTGAGTAGCTGGGACTACAGGCTTGCACCACGACGCTCACCTAATTTTTGTATTTTTAGTAGAGACGGGGTTCCACCATGTTGGCCAGGGTGGTCTCGATATCTTGGCCTTGTGATCCACCCGACTCGGCCTCCAAAAGTGCTAGGATTACAGGCATGAGCCACTGCGCTTGGCCAACCTGGGCTTTCTGATTGCTGCTGGGGTATCACTGCTGATACCTCTGAGGAGAAATGTATCAAGAAACCCAGGCTTGTCCAGGGGTGGTGGCTCACACCTGTAATCCCAGCACTTTGGGAGGCCTCGGAGGGCGGATCACCTTGAGGTCAGGGGTTCGAGACCAGCCTGGCCAACATGGTGACACCCTGTCTCTACTAAAAATACAAAAATAAGCCGGGCATGGTGGCGGGTGCCTGTAATCCCAGCTACTCAGGAGGCTGAGGCAGGAGAATTGCTGGAACCTGGGAGGCAGAGGTTGCAGTGAGCCAGGATCGTGCCACTGCACCCCAGCCTGGGTGGCAGAGTGAGACTCCATCTCAAAAAAAAAAAAAAAAAAAGGAAAAGAGAAACCCAGGGTCATTCCCAAACTGGAAGGCCCTCCCAACTCACTTTGTCCTGGGACTCCAAATCTGGTGGCCCTGGGTGTCACTTTGGGCCCCTTTTCAGGCACCTGGCACCCTGACTGAAGTATAAGGCAGGGCTCTAGTCCTCGCTGGCACCTTGACGCAGGGTCTTCTGAAGAGCTTGGGACCAGACTCCCATGTGAGAGGAGCAGTCTCTTCTAGAAAGTGAGCGGTCAGGAAAGTGAGTGAGAGAGGGATCAAAGGAATATTGTGGGTTTGTCAGAACCAACAGTCCACCTAGAAAAAGGAGCCTAAATGCTGAGAAGACATATCAAAGGTGGGAGATAAAATGATAGGGTTTTACGTGAAAGGTATCCTAGAACATTTGCTAGAAAGCAAAGCTTGTTGCACATCTGTCCACAGAATTCATCAAGCATCAGGCCAGTGTGTTTCAGTTATCACTATGTGGCAGGCATTTCCCACACGCTGTTTAATTTCCACCAGAAACCTGCAGAGAGGTGGTGTCACAGGGCAGGTAAGGAATGGGAAGCTCAGAAAGGTTAAGAAATGCACTTGGCTGGGTGTGGTGGCTCACGCCTGTAATCCCAGCACTTTCGGAGGCCGAGGCTGGCTGATCACCTGAGGTTGGGAGCTCAAAACCAGCCTGGCCAACATGGTGAAACCCTGTCTCTACTAAAAATGCAAAATTAGCCAGGCATGGTGGCACAAGCCTGTAGTCCCAGCTACTCAGGAGGCTGAGGCAGGAGAATCGCTCGAATCTGGGAGGTAGAGGTTGCGGTGAGCTGAGATCGCGCCATTGCACTCCAGCCTGGGCAACAAGAGCGAAAATCCGTCAAAAAAAGAAAGTAAAGAAAAGAAAAGAAAAAGAAATGCACTCATAGCCACAAAGGCACCTAGAGGCAGAGCAGAAATCCCCAGTCTAGGGCTTCTAGCTGCTGCACCACAGTCCACTCACAGGGAGTATGGGCACTGTGTAGGTGTTCCCCTGTACTGGAGCCTTAAGGGCTTGGGATGTATTAGAAATGTGGGGAGAGGCCAGGCGTGGGGGCTCACGCCAGTAATTCCAGCAATTTGGGAGGCCAAGGCGGGCAGATCACCTGAGGTCAGGAGTTCAAGACCAGCCTGGCCAACATGGTGAAACCCTGACTCTACTAAAAATACAAAAAATTAGCTGGGCGTGCTGCCAGGTGCCTGTAATCCCAGCTACTTGGGAGGCTGAGGCAGGAGAATCACTTGAACCCAGGAGGTGGAGGTCGCAGTGAGCCAAGATCACGCCAGTGTACTCCAGCCTGGGCGACAGACAGAGCGAGACTCTGTCTCAAATTTAAAAAAAAAGAAAGAAAAAGAAAAGAAATGTGGGGAGAGTTTCAGGAACACCTGTTTAGCTCTCCAAATGCCTAAGGGGGAAGTAGAGGCTATCTGTATTGAATATACAGCCAAAGGCTGGATCTTTCTTCCCCTCCTCCTGGACTGTTGTTATTATTATTTGTAAGTCCAGCCTTGAAGGGCATGTGAAGGAGGCCAGAGGGCCAGGCAATGCCATTGATTAACTTGCCTTCCGGGTAGGCTCCCATTTATTTTCAGTGTCTCTACCGAAAACTAACACTTATCGGACACCTTCTGTATGACAAACACTGATTTTAGGCACTCACTTATTTCATGTAATCCTCCAAAAACCCCGAAAAGTGGATTTTTTTTTTTTTGAGACGCAGTCTTGCTCTGTCGCCCAGGCTCGAGTGCAGTGGCATGATCTCGGCTCACTGCAAGCTCCACCTCCTGGGTTCACGCCATTCTCCTGCCTCAGCCTCCTGAGTAGCTGGGACTACAGGCGCCCCCCACCACACCCGGCTAATTTTTTTGTGTTTTTAGTAGAGTCGGGGTTTCACCGTGTTAGCCAGGATGGTCTCGATCTCCTGACCTTGTGATCCACCCACCTCGGCCTCCCAAAGTGCTGGGATTACAGGCGTGAACCACTATGCCTGGCCTGAAAAGTGGATATTCTTATCTTTCATTTGGAGAGACTGAGACTGAGGGAAGTCAAGTAACTTGCCCAAAGTCACACAGCAATTTTTCAGAGCTGGGAATTCCAGGTCAGGACTGGCTGGCCTCAATGCTTCTGGTAAATATTTCAGTTCTATATACAGGCTGGTGGCTTCCAGGAAGGGAATAGAAAGGGACATTTACAGAGCAGTTAGGGTTAATTCTAATTCCTTGTCCACTTCCCTCCAAGGCACCATTGCCATAGCATCCTTGCCAACTGTCTTAGAAAGAAATTGTTTTGGCCATCCAGGTTTCCTCTATAAATTGGAGCAGCATCTGGTCTTCACAGAGAGCCAGGCATTCCAGGAGCCCATAACTGAGGGTCTGGATGACTTCTGGTTTGAGCGACCAGCTGGCACTGGCTCCCCTGGGAGAGAGTCTGTGGGCAAAGTCTGATCTACAGATCAGCCAGATATTCATTTGCCCAAATTAGGAGACCCAGGAAAATAGTTCTGTTTATAGGCCCCAGAGATGATCAGAATCCCGAGTCTGCACCCCCTTCTTTAGTACCCTAAAAATGCTGTTTCCATCTGAGAAACTGCGCCATCTCAAGCATGGGTATTCATGGAACTCCTGGGGAAGCCAGGGCAGTGCACCTTGCCAGGTATCCACACTGGGTGGGTGGGGGCATCTCTGTCTTTCTATATTCCACAATGCCTTCTCCAGAAACCCTAAGTCCAAACTGCACTGAAAACAGAACCCTCTTTTATAAATTTGGCATCAAAACTCAGTGATGGCAAAAACCGGACCAGACCTTACAGAATTTATTTATCGTTTTTAGTGTGAACATGTACATAAATGCTTTGCTGAGAAATCGAAGCTGATGGGTTTGATCATGAGGTGCTGCTGCTGCAGGACATTATGTTACTGTGGTTTATGCATCACATCTTTTTTCTTAAATCCAAAACATTCTCCAGTCTGGCTGCACAGATGCCAGTTGAGGGGTTGTGGCCTTGTTTTATTAGGTTGGTGCAAAAGTCATTGCGGTTTTTGCCATTGAAAGTAATTACTTTTGGCCAGGCACGGTGGCTCACACCTGTAATCCCAGCACTTTGGGAGGCCAAGGCGGGTGGATCACCTGAGGTCAGGAGTTCGAGACCAGCCTGACCAACAAGGTGAAATCTCGTCCCTACTAAAAATACAAAAATTAGCTCGGTGTGGTGGCGGGCACCTGTAGTCCCAGCTACGCTGGAGGCTGAGACAGGAGAATTGCTTGAATGCGGAAGGTGGAGGTGGCAGTGAGCCAATGTCACACCACTGCACTCCAGCCTGGGTGACAGAGCAAGATTCCATCTCAAACGAAAGTAATTACTTTCAATGGCAAAAACTGCAATAAGTTTTTGCACCAACCTAATATAATGCACTGTATTCAAGCAGGACAGACTGTCACCCGACCAGGAAGTAGGTGGCTTCTTATATTCATGAACCAAACCTCTCCAGCCCTCTGTGGTCACACTTGGTGTCTGGAATTCCATCACCAGGGGATTCATTCTTTGCTGTCTTCTCTGAGAGGTGGATAAAACCGGGAGTCATACTTTTTTTTTTTTTTTTTTTTTTGAGACAGAGTCTTGCTCTGTTGCACAGGCTGGAGTGCAGTGGCACGATCTCGGCTCACTGCAACCTCCACCTCCCAGGTTCAAGCGATTCTTCTGCTTCAGCCTCCTGAGTAGCTGGGATTACAGGTGTGCGCCACCGTGCCCGGCTAATTTTTGTATCTTTAGTAGAGATGGAGTTTCCCCATGTTGGCCAGGCTGGTCTCAAACTCCTGACCTCAGGTGATCCACCCGCCTCGGCCTCCCAAACTGCTGGGATTACAGGCATGAGCCACTGCGCCAGGCCGGGAGTCATACTTTTATGTAGATTAGTCCTTTTGGATTTTTCCTCTGTGGGAGAAAGCAGCTTGCAGCAAGCAGATACGCTAAGGGGAGGATGATGGGGCAGGATTGAGGCCCCAGACAAACCGCAGGCCCCGGGTAACACAGCTAGTCGGGCACACATCCTGCAGCACAGGCCCGCGGCGCTGGGGAGATCTACATACGGCATGGAGCCAGGCCGGGACGCAGGCCCGAGTTAGCACGGCTGGCATTGCTGCCACTCCCTTCAGGGCAGGGAGGACAGTCATCTAGCGGCCTTCGGATTACACAAACCCTTTCCTTGGCGGGGGTCTCCCAGGGTGGTCAGGTCCGGACCAGGCAGAGGCCTTGCACCTGTGCTTCCCAGCCCCCCAGTTTTGCGCGGGAACTGCAGGTGCCAAACCCGGAGGCAGCAAAAGTGCTGCCCAAACGGGGATGGAGCCACCCGGGGCGGGAGAGGCCGGGGGCATCTAAGGCCGTGTAGCTCCCATGTTTAGAGGCTCCCAGTTATTTACAAATGAATAAAGGCCAGAGGACACGCGTTTGGGTCAACTTAAAGGTGCGCGTGCAGTGTTCTGTGACCTCCGTGGGATGCGAGGCTGGCGGGCCGGAGCGCCCCTGCCGGGGATTGGCCGGCCGCGCTCCGCCGCAGACTCCGCGCCGCCGGGCGCTCACTTCGCCACCTGACGGCAACGGCGGGAACCGCAGGAGCGCGCGGACCACCCCCCACCCACTTCCCCCGAGCCCCGCCGGCCCCAGCTCCCGCTCCCCAGGAAGCGAAGGGTTAAGCTGTCAGCGGCGCGATGTTAAACAGGTGTCAAAGGCGCCCCATATATCTGCAGATTGAAATCAAATTCTTCGCCGTATAAAAAGATAAATTACCCAGGCGCTGCCGAGCGTCCCACTCATCACGCCAGCGCCAGACGGCAAGCAATTTTTTTTTAATGTGCTAACGACCTAATCAAGCAATCAAGTCGGAGGAGATTGCAGCGTGACCCGGGCAGCCATCTGCCGCCGAGCCCGCATGCATTTCCGCGCCGCGCGGGGCGGGGGCCGCGAGGGGCTGCCGGGGGGAAGGGGGAAAATCCTAAACAAATTAACACCCAATTTTCCCCGTCTAATTAGTTAAATGAGAAGAGTTGGGGGTCCCCGGGGAAGCGGGGGCGCTCGCGACGAGGCGAGTGCTGCCTCCCCAGCATTAATTAGTGCGGGTCAATGCCGCGGCTCCCGGGAGAGCAGCCGCTTTAATTTCCCGTGGTATTTCAGTGCCTGAGGCCCATCGATTCAAACTGAAATTAACTTATTTTTCAATCAGCCCAGGGCTGCCCCTGGGGGTGACTCTTCTTTTGCCGCCTCCTGAATAGAGCTGGAGCAATTTTTCATTAAAAGCTGATACCTCTGCCGCGGGGGAGGGGGCCCGGAGGGAAGGGCGGCGCCGGCCCAGACCCAGGCAAGGAAATCGGGAGGAAATGAACAGATTTCCCAAGCCCGCCTCGGTCCTCCCCTCCCGACTCCCTCGACTTCCCTGGGGCGACTCGCTGCCCCCGGGGTCTGAGCCTTTAAGGACTGTGAGGGGCGAGAAGGGAACCGCCAGGCTTGGGGCGCACCATTACCCCGCGGGCCTGGACCTCCTTGGCGGACAATGCGAGGGGCTCCCGGCTCTGTCAGCTGCGGGAAATCTCCGGAAAGCTGCTCTGGGGGACCAAGAAATGTTCCCTCCTCAAACTTGGCAGGGATTCTGGGATCCTAGAATGGGCTAGAGTGCTGCAGACACCCCAGGGTACCCCACTGTCATTCAGACCCTGCACCAATCAGCTTTGGGGCCAGAGACACATTCGCTAGTGCTTCCTCCGCCCCCACTCCCTCCCAGGTCCCTCCTCCCATTTGCTCCTCAACCCTGGAGAATGTTATCTTCATCCCTGGTCCAGCTCCCCAAATACTATTCAGAGTTAGGCTCGGAGCTGTGGGGAGCAGGTACCTGGAGGGCACATGTGGTTTGGCAGAGCTTAGCTGGGACAGGGTGGAGGAGGCAGGCTGACCCAGGCCTCCGAGGGGAGTCTCCCTCCCTGAGTTCCCAGCCTTCCTGATACCTGGGTGAAGTGCCCCTAAGACTGTCCCCTGCCCTTTGTCCCTGATCCCTCACTCACCTGCAGCCCTCCTGGATGGTTGTGACTCTGGGCTTCTGGCAGAGAGGAAGCCCTGAGCCAGAGACACTGCTAGTCCAGTGCTGGGAAAGGAATTTGTCCCTCTGCAAATCAGAAAAAAAGATTTATATGCTGGAGGTGTGAACACATGCAAGAGAGCCATCAGTGGCAGGGCAGGCTTCTCAGCTGCAAACAGTCGATGACACTGGGTCCTGCGCACCTGCAAGACCCTGTCCAGGAAGCATCCATACCCCATCTCCCTAGAACTACCCATGATATTCTCATAAGACTGATGTCCTCCTTCTGAATACTCCCTGAGCCTGGAGGAACACAGAGGGCACCATGGAGTAGGCGAGCTTAGGTTAAGGACGCCCTGCTGGAGAAATCTTCACTCCAAGCCTACAAGGGGTAAGGGCCTTGGGCCCAGCACCTCTCAGAGCAAGCCTCTGACCTGTTCTGTGCACCTGCAGGTCTGGTTCCAGAACCGTCGAGCCAAGTGGAGGAAGCGGGAGAAGTGCTGGGGCCGGAGCAGTGTCATGGCGGAGTATGGGCTCTACGGGGCCATGGTGCGGCACTCCATCCCCCTGCCCGAGTCCATCCTCAAGTCAGCCAAGGATGGCATCATGGACTCCTGTGCCCCGTGGCTACTGGGTAAGAGCCCGCACCCTCCTTGGGGTCCTGCCCTGCGGTGAGGAGAGCGGGCTCCTTGGAGGAGGGGACAGAGCCTTGAGGCAGGGGCACTTGGGCCACAGCAGCCTAGCAGGAGAGAAATTCTTCAAAGCAAACCTCTTGGTCTATCCTGGGGGACTCAGAGCAGGGTGGGCCTGGGGCCTGGTGTCTGTCACTTGCACTGGGTGCCAAGAACTCTCATCATGAACGAGTCCCTAACTGTGGATTATTTTGTCCTGTGAGAACAGTGTGGCTGTTGGCCTGGGGTCTGTACCCTCCTCTCCCCTTGGCCAGAGGTGGGTTTATATTGAACAAAACAGTCTTCCCTGGGGGTTGAGAGAACCCCTAGGTCCCTCTGGCTGCCATTCTGCTTAGCCCAAAGGACTTCTGTCCCCCAAATCTCTCTACTTGCTATCTTCCCCACCTGCCAACTTCCCCACCTGCCCTCTGGGCCTATATCTGAGAACAGCACCAGCTCCTCTTGGGGTTCTAAGATCCGGAATCCCATGGGGGAGGGACAGGGGAGCATGTGCTGTGGCCTGGAAGGGACAGAACAGGCCACCCGAGGCCCAGGTGCCCAGGGCTTTGGCAGGGGGAGGTCCTCCACAGGGCTGGCGACCCATCTCCCCATTCCCTGACCCTGGTCCAGCCCTGGGACTTGTGTGACTGCGGTGTGGGGAGTAAGGCTTTCTGCTCGTCCTTAATTCTGGCCTCTCTCTATCTTTGCCGTTTTCAGTTCAAGATGGCTTTCCCAGGCGCTTTTCTAAACCCGAATACCAACAATTCTTTCTAGGGATGCACAAAAAGTCGCTGGAGGCAGCAGCCGAGTCGGGGAGGAAGCCCGAGGGGGAACGCCAGGCCCTGCCCAAGCTCGACAAGATGGAGCAGGACGAGCGGGGCCCCGACGCTCAGGCGGCCATCTCCCAGGAGGAACTGAGGGAGAACAGCATTGCGGTGCTCCGGGCCAAAGCTCAGGAGCACAGCACCAAAGTGCTGGGGACTGTGTCTGGGCCGGACAGCCTGGCCCGGAGTACCGAGAAGCCAGAGGAGGAGGAGGCCATGGATGAAGACAGGCCGGCGGAGAGGCTCAGTCCACCGCAGCTGGAGGACATGGCTTAGGTCAAGGCGCGCTCAGATGCCGGAGCCCCAAGACTCTGCTCTCCTCGGGCCCTGTGGTGCTGGGAGATGCTCTCTGAGGCAAGGCCCAGACCTGGCCTCTGCCATCCTCCCTGTTCCCCACAGGTCCTCCATCACCCCTGGTGGCTGCAGGCACCGCTGGGTTCTGACTCTGGACCATGCTGAGACATCCCTCATCTAGTCTTGACCTCTCCAGCATCCCAGCCTCAGAAGCCTTCTTGCTGCCCACAACGTCCCCTCAAGCCCCTTCTCTCAATCCCTTTGCAACGCTCACTGGTTTTGGCCACCCCTTGCTCTCTGTTCTCTTGCTTTAAAGAGTCCTCCTTCCCAGCTCTACATTCTGCTCTGCCCATGCCTAAAGCCCATTGCTGCAAATGCATTGTGAATTGCCTGCCATGGCTGTGACACAGACGGAGGACTGGAACTGCAACTCCAGCGTCCTCAGCACCCCACTCCTCAGTAAAAGTCTTCTCCCAACTCAGCCTGTTCCTTCCTGCAGACCTGGCTGGGCCTGGGCTTCCACAGTGTGAAGACACTGTGCAGGCCCAGGCAGGCCCAGCCTCTGCCCCACCCATCAGTGGAGTCCAGATGGCAGGCTACAGTTGGGAAGTCTCAGCCTGGGCCCCTCAGCCACCCTTGGTCTCATGCCCCGCCATGGTCACCCTCAGGAACCCACCCTCTCCACACCCAGCCTGTCCCACTGGCTCCTCCCAGCACAGGCACCTATGTGGCATGTGGTGATGTACGCTGCGTGCCATGAGTCCATGTCCTATGCCTCACAAATGCTGTGGTTCACTGCACTGTTCAGGAGTCCAAACCTTCTACCCTGGGTCCTCGGGCCCCTGAGCCTGTGTCCTGAAGAATCTCGACTCTCGTGATATGCTGCTTGTGACCTTGACTTGCCATGAAGGCACCTGCCCCCACAGCTCCTTGCAAACTATGAGTTCACATGTGCCCTGCCTTGAACAACCCAATCTGGCTGGTAAATGACATCTACGAAGCCACAGGCCTGGCCTCAACTGAGAAGCCAAGCCTGGAGTAGGCCTGGGGCTATGCATACGCATTAAGGGCCTGCTGGAGAAACCTTCACTCCAGACAGACAGGGGGCTAAGGGGCTAGGGCTGAGCACCTCTCAGAGCAAGCCTTTGACCTGTTCAGAAGGATGGGAAAAAGGCTGGAAGGAAAGCAAGGCAGAAGGCCAGGAGTAAGCCCAAGCTAAGCTGCAGGCACACACGCCTTCATGCCAGTGCATGCCAGGAAGCACGTTCACTAGACTAAAACACGGTAACCATGATGGAATAAGGAGCTGGGGCTTCTTTCTGCTGGCTGATGGGTGGACCTGTGTATGGTGACCTCTCCGGCCTGGCCTTTTCCATTCGCATGAACAATGGGAGCACATAGCCCTGTTGACCTGCCCGATCCAGATTCCCAGGCCAGGCTCCCGACCCCATCCACCTATCCACCACCCCACCCACCTTTGCAGGGAATACCTCGTTAGAGAATGGCCTGAGACAGTGCGTTGCAACTTTTTAATTCCATATCAAAAGTTGATTTCTTCTTCATTCCATTTATGGAACTTCCCTCCCCCTAGTCCGGTTCTTCTTGTCTTTGTCCCTGTTGGTTTGAAGTGTTAGACTATAGCCCCTGGTGTGTAAATAATGTACATAGAGTGAGAAGAAAGAAACTTGATATTGAGGTGTTTGAAATATGGAACTGTAATAACTTCTAGGTATTCGAAACCTGTGATTTCTGTGCCATTTTCTGTAAAGATACAAGTAAGAATAAAATTGACTTAAAAATAGTAGGGGAGAAATCCAGGAGTCCACTGTGGGTGGGGAATGGTTTGTGTTCCGTGTGTATGGGTGGCATAAAAAGTAAATCTACGGCTGGGTGCGATGGCTCATGCCTGTAATCTCAGCACTTTGGGAGGCCTAGGTGGGCAGATCACTTGAGGTCAGGAGTTCGAGACCAGCCTGGCTAACATGGTGAAACCCTGTGTCTACTAAAAATATAAAAAGTAGCCAGGGGTGGAGGCACACTCCTGTAATCCCAGCTACTCAGGAGGCTGAGGCAGGGGGATTGCTTAAACCCGGGAGGTTGAGGGTGCAGTGAGCTGAGATCATGCCATTGCACTCCAACCTGGGCAACAGAGCAAGACCCTGTCTCGAAAAAAAAAAGTAAATCTACAAGTTGATATTTTAGGTCAAAATTACTGGGTTCCTTTTTTAAAAAATTACTCTAATTGTAGAGGTACAAGTGGCCTACGTCTCTCCACTGAGCCGATACCACCCTTCAATGACATTCGTCACTGTGACATGGGATTGGCCTCCATGATCGACACAACCTAAATGTCCCAACGATCCATAGTTCTTACCTCTGACTCCCTCCTACTCCCCACATAGTAGTCGGCATTTGCCTCTCTCCTTGGTACTGACTTACTGATAACCCTGTTTCCTACTGCCCTCTGCGGAAGCTCACAGCCCACCTTGGCCCCCAAGAGAACTCCCTTCCTTTTGTGCACACCTGTGCCCTTCCACATCTTACCCTCAACCTAAACAACAACAAACGAAAGAGGTAACAGTATCTGGAGTTGAAAGCCAGACAGATTATGCTAAATCCGTGTCAAAGGGAAGGAGAGTCAAAGAGAAACAGCTCGAGGAAGACCATATGAAATTGTCTACTGACAGCTGTGACCCACCGACTTGATGATGTGATGGATGGAATTACGAGATGAGAGAGCGGGGTGAGCAGATGAGATAGGCTGTATTTGAGATTTGGGCCCAAGAAATCTCGTAAGATTGTTTCAAATTGGCTTAGATGTGAACTCCCTCGTGGATGAGGTTTCTGGCAGCCCATCAGCGAAGGAGAATGACAGGAGGTCAGCAGTCCTAATACCCTGGATTGGACCCAGATGTGGTCCTCGCAGACCAGGACCCTGAGGGGCACATGTGGGAAATCTCCAGCTCCTGTGTGGGGATGGGAAAGAGCCATGAGCCTGGCTTCAAGTCCTGCCGTGCCAGGCTGCTCCCAGGCCTTCCCCGGCATGTCAGCTCCTGCAGGATTCATCCTCGGTCTGGGAATGTCTTTCTCCAACCCTCCAGGAAGTAAACCACTTGTCAACCTTCCAGTCCCCTCCCCTCCGAAGCCCTCCTGACCTTCCAGGAAGAGTGTATTTATTTGCTGATTTATTTATTTTTGAGACAGGGTCCTGCTGTTGCTCAGGCTGGAGTGCAGTGTTGTGATCATGGCTCACTGCAGCCTTGAGCTCTCAGATCAAGGTGCCCTCCCAACTCAGCCTGCCGAGTAGCTGGGACTACAGGTGTGCATCATGCTGGCTGATTTTTAGTAGAGATGAGGTCTCACTATGTTGCCCAGGCTGGTCTTGAACTCCTGGGCTTAAGCAATCCTCCCACTTCAGCCTCCCAAAGTGCTGGGATTACAGGAATGAGCCACTGCGCCCAGCCAGCAAGTTTATAACCTCTGTTCTCTGACAGCACTTGGGACATTCCTGATTATGGCATTTTCCACGTTGTGTTGTAATTTTTTTTTTTTTTTGGAGATGGAGTCTCACTCTGTCGCCTAGGCCGGAGTGCAGAGGCAGGATCTCGGCTCACTGCAACCTCCGCCTGCTGGGTTCAAGGAATTCTCCTGCCTCAGCCTCCTGAGTAGCTGGGATTATAGGTGCGTGCCACCATGCTGAGCTAATTTTTGTATTTTTAGTAGGGACAGGGTTTCACCATGTTGGTCAGGCTGGTCAGGCTGGTCTTGAACTCCTGACCTCGTGATCTGCCTGCCTTAGCCTCCCGAAGTACTGGGATTATGTAATTTTTTTATTTACAAGTCTATCTTTCCCATAAGACGGATTTCTTCAAGGGTGGCACTACATCTTCTTCTTCTTTTATCCCAGGACCCATCAAAGGGCCTGACCCTCAATCCATTATTGAATGCACAGATGAATGTTCTGCCTATAATTCATCATTTATTCAATAATTTAAAAATAATGACTGAGCATTTAATATGTATCAGGCAGTGGGGCAAGGCACTGGGGATATAGTAGTAGGCAAAGCAGTCCCAGATTCCCTGTTTTTTTTTTTTCTTTTTGAGACAGAGTCTTACTCTGTCACCCAGGCCAGAGTGCAGTGGCACAATCTCGGCTCACTGCAACCTTCGCCTCCTGGGTTCAAGCAATTCTACTTCAGCCTCCTGAGTAGCTGGGATTACAGGCATATGCCACCACATCTGGCTAAATTTTTGTATTTTTCATAGAGATGGGGTCTCGAACTCCTGACCTCAAATGATCTGCCTGCCTTAGCCTTCCAAAGTGCTGGGATTATAGGTGTAAGCCACCGCGCCTGGCCCCAAGTTCCCTGTTCTCATGGCACTTACAGTCTGGAGGGAAAGACAGCATTTAAGTAACCATACAAATAAAATATAAAATTGCAAATGTCCTGTGAACTTGGAGGCATGCTGTAAGAAACCGTGAAAGCATCTAATAGGATGACCTGACCATCTGTGGGCCTTGGGCCGGGGTGTTTACCCTCTCTCTGTGTTATAAAATGGAAGAGTAACATCTGCTCCGCCCGTTGTGGCGTAGAGTATCCAGGAAGAAGCGAGGACGTGGAGAAAGGCACCGTACAGCACAAAGGAAAGGTGGAGGGGCCAACGCAAGCCTCTCAAGCCCAGGGGGCATCCTTGGCAGCTGCCCCACCCTCGGGTAGGCCTAGGGGACAACTGGGACACTCAGAGCCTTGGGAGATAGCAGAAATCCTCTTGGACGATCACCTCAGGGGATTTGCCCGGAGGAGAAGCAAGCAGCTCTCTGCACAAGGAAATGCAAATAGGTTTACAAGTAATCGATGAGGGGAGAGGCTGGACAGGAAAGGAAGGCCTGGATGGCCAGGCCCAAATGAGGCAGAACAAAGAGAGAAGTCCTGTTAGGTGGGATTGTACCCCAGGAGTGTCTTCTTCCCTCTGACCCTGACACCTGGCTCCTGGAAGGGAGATTTTATTCCAGGTTCTGCTGGGCTAACAGGCTGCCAAGAGATGGCTGCGTGCCCCAAGAAGAGCAGCAGAGAGCTACAGGGGCAGGAGGGGCTGGTTCATGAGGATTGCGGGTGCTGGTGAGCAGGCCTGGCAGGGAAAGATGAGGAGGAGTCTGGCTGGGAGTGGGAGAGTGGCAAGCAGGGCTGGTGACAGTGGGGGAGTTTCTGAGGCCAGTCCTATGGCCTGGAGAGAGCAGCTGCTGCAAGAAAGAGGGACTCGATCTCAGGGATCGCTGGGACCTTGGTCCCAGCCTCCTGCTGGCCCTCCAGCCTCTTGTGTCTCCTGCACCCAACAGCTCACTGGGGCCTTGAAGTCTTTCTCCTACTGCAGTGCCTTCCCCACCTCTCTTCAGAGTGTGGAGCTGAGGCAGCCTGGCCCATCAATTTCAACAGAGGTACCATACTAATATCGATGTCAATAAGAGGCAACGCTGGGTGAGGGGGTGTCTTAGTCTATTTTGTGTGGCTATAACAGAATACCATGGACTGAGTAATTTATAAAGAAAAGAGAGACTGGTGTGGTGGCTCACACCTGTAATCCCAGCACTTTGGGAGGCTGAGGTGGGTAGATCACTTGTGGCCAGGAGTTCGAGACCAGCCTGGCCAACATGGTGAAACCCCATTTCTAGGAAAAATACAAAAATTAGCTTGGCGTGGTGTATGCCTATAGTCCCAGCTACTCAGGAGGCTGAGGCACAAGACTTGAGCTTGGGAGGCAGAGGTTGCAGTGAACCAAGATTGCACCACTGCACTCTAGCCTCGGCAATGGAGCCAGACCCCAGCTCAAAAAAAAAAAAAAAGAAAAGAAAAGAAAAGAAATTTATTTCTTACAGTTCTGGAGGCTGGAAAGTCCAAGGTTGAGGGACTGCATCTGGTGAGTGTCTTCTTGCTGCGTCACAACATGGTGGGAGATAAAAGGGCACAAGAGCATGTGTTAGAGAACAAGAGGGGGCCGACTTTGCTTTTATAACAGGCCTACTACCATGATAATGTTAATCCATTCTCCCTTATGACCTCATCAGCTATTAGGACCCACCTACTAACACTGTCGCACTGCAGATTGTGTTTCCAACACATGAACGTGGAGGAACACATTCAAACTACAGCAGGGGGTTATGAGGTCTCTGTACTATGGACCTGGAAACTCTGTACTATCTTCACAATTTTTTTTGTAAATCTAAAATTGTAAAAATAAAGCTTACTTTTAGGCCGGGTGTGGTGGTTCACGCCTGTAATCCCAGCACTTTGGAAGGCTGAAGCAGGTGGATCATTTGAGGTCAGGAGTTTGAGACCAGCCTGGGCAACACGGCAAAACCCTGTCTCTACTAAAAATACAAAAATTAGCTGGGCGTGGTGGCCGGTGCCTGTAATCCCAATTATTTGGGAGGCTGAGGCGGGAGAATCCCTTGAACCCGGGAGGCAGAGGTTGCAGTGAGCCAAGATCGTGCTACTGCACTCCAGCCTGGGCGATGGAGTAAGACTCTGTCTCAAAAAAAAAAGTTTATTTTTTAAAACAAACTAGTTTGTTTTCTAGAGGGAAAACAACAGAGGGCTTCTTTGGGTTGGAACAAGTGCCAGGGCTCTCCCTCTCCCTGTCTCTTACCCCCCAGTGCTCCATTTACCAAGTATCCCAGTTGGTCCCCCAGGGCCCCCAAGACCTACCCTCTGGGGAACCAAGCTGGAGTCAAGAGCCCCTGGCCCTGGCCGGCCCTGTCTCCTGGAGCTTCCTCCCCCCCATTTCTTCTTTAGGTCTCCCTGTTGTCCCCACCTCCCTCCTGGCTGCTGCTCAACTCAGGCAGCAATGAAGTCAGGGAAGTCTCTGCTTAGTCACAGCTAAGCAGGCCCAGCAGTGATTTGCTCTATTAATTCCTCACTCCAGATCAATCCCACCCAATGCTGACTATTTTCATTGATTGTTGGCCTCCTCCCCTCCCCCACTCCTTGCTGCTGAGCCAAGGACCCCTCCCATTTATCTCCGTGGCTCTGTTCCTCATGAGGCAGAGCCCGGCTGCGGACCTCAGGGAGTCTCTGTCACAGGAAGGGGTCAAAGAATGAGGAGGTGGCCTTCTGTTAGTTGCAGAATTGCTTGAGCTGCTCACCAGGCTGATATTCACTCACCCCTTTGCTTGGTGTTGAGGCCAGAGAAAAGGTGGTTGACCAGGGGGACAATAGTGGGCTCAGAGGTGAGAGGAAAGAGGAGGAAACATTCACCATTTCCTCCACACAGCCTCAGTGAGGGTAGACCAGAACAGTTTTTACCCGCTCAGATGCAGAAACAAATTATTAAAAGGCAAATCTATGCTCAGCCAACAAAGAGCTTCGCAGCCATCAAAGAGATGATTACACGAATTAGATTGATGAATATATTTATGAAAAAGAAAACATTAAGGCTGAGCTGGGACCAGTGGCTCACACCTGTAATCCCAGCACTTTGGGAGGCCGAGGTGGGTGGATCATTTTAGCCCAGGAGTTTGAGACCAGCCTGGCCAACGTGGTGAAACCCCCTGTCTCTTCTAAAAAATACCAAAAATAGCCGGGTGTGGTGGTGTGTGCCTGTAGTCCCAGTTACTTGCGAGGCTGAGGCTGGGGACTCACTTGAACCCGGGATGTGGAGGTTGCAGTGAGCTGAGATTGTGTCACCACACTCCATCCTGGGTGACAGAACAAGACTGTGAAAAAAGAAAGAAGAAAAGAAGGCAGGCAGAAAAGAAAAAGGGAAAGGGGAAGGGGAAGGGAAGGAAAGGAAGAAATTAAGGCTGGGCATGGTGACTCACAACTGTAATTCCAGCCCACTGGGAGGCTGAGGTGGGAGGATCCCTAGAGTTCAGGAGTTTGAGACCAGCCTGGGCAACATAGGGAGACTCCGTCTCAAAAAGAAAAAAAAAAAAAAAAGGAAAGGAAAGATTAAGACAAGTCTGAGCTTAACAGCAACAGATATAGGAGGATGTTCAAAGGACCAAAGGACAACAGCATTCTCTAACAGGAGCGCTTCTTTCTCCTCCACCCCACATTTCTGTCTCCCACAGTGTCCCGTGATTCAGGAGTCAGTCCATGCATGGTTTCCATGCAGAAGGCACAAGTTTTTAGGAAGGGAGGGGCAGAGTACCGTGAAAGGTGAAGACTTCCCAATAGCCCTCCCTCATCCGGGACCATTCCTATATGGAAAAGTGCAAGGCGCCGTGGCCCAGGGAAGACAACCCGTGATGAGAAGAGTGTGACCTAAAAATGGAAAGAACATCAGAGTGGATCTAGAAGACCTGAGTTTAAGTGCAGTCTCCACTGCTCTCTTTTTTTTTTTTTTTTTTTTTTTTTTTTGAGACGGAGTCTCCCTGTCACCTAGGCTGGAGTGCAGGGGTGCGATCTCGGCTCATTGCAACATCTGCCTCCTGGGTTCAAGCAATTCTGCCTTAGCCTCCCAAGTAGCTGGGAATACAAGTGCATGCTGCCACTTATTTTAATAGAGATGAGGTTTCACCGTGTTGCCCAGGCTGGTCTTGAACTCCTGAGTTCAGGCAATCTGTCCGCCTTGGCCTCCCAAAGTGCTAGGATTTCAGGCGTGAGCCACCGTGCCTGGCCTTTACTACTTTCTTAACTTCCTCAAGTATTGGTATGCTCAGGCATAAAACTGCAGTCCTAACAGTCCTGCACAGCACTGTTGTGAAGCCCAATGAGATGAGGTGGTTTGCACTAAACTTTATTTCTCCTTGAGTCAGTTTTATTTTGCTGTTATTTAAAAAATTTTTCCTACCTTGTATCTTTTTTGGGGGAGAGTGGGCTTTTGCTAGCTTCTTAAACACTTATCTCATTCTTTCTAAATCTTTATTATTTACTAATACAGATATTAAAAATCATACATTTCTTTTTTTTTTTTTTTGAGAACGTCTTGCTTTGTCGCCTAAGCTGCAGTGCAGTGGTGTGAACATGGCTCACTGCAATCTCCATCTCCCAGGCTCAAGTGATCCTCCCACCTCAGCCTGACCAGTAGCTGGGATCACAGGTGTGCACAACCATGCCTGGCTAATTTTTGTATTTTTTTCAGTAGAGACAGGGTTTCACCACGTTGCCCAGGCTGGTCTCGAACTCCTGAGCTCAAGCGATCTGCCTTTCTTGGCCTCCCAAAGTGCTGGGATTACAGCTGTGAACCACAGTGCCTGGCCTTAAAAATCATACATGTCTAAGTTTTATTAGAGTTGCATCCCAAAAGACTGCACAGAGTTTTCACTTATTTTCTGTTTCACATATTTATTAAATCCCATTTTTAAGCTTCTGAATGTTTTGAAATTTCCAAGCTCTAGGATTTTTGTGAGGGAAGTGATTCTATTATTGCCTTCTAATTTTTTTTTTTTTTTTTTTTTTTTGGAGACAGAGTCTCACTCTGTCACCCAGGCTGGAGTGCAGTGGCGTGATCTCAGCTCACTGCAACCTCCACCTCCCAGGTTCAAGCGATTCTCATGCTTCAGCCTCCCGAGCAGCTGGGATTACAGGAGCCTGCCACCACGCCCAGCTAATTTTTGTATTTTTAGTAGAGATGGGTTTTGTCATGTTCGCCAGGCTGGTCTTGAACTCCTGACCTCAGATGAT
This sequence comes from Homo sapiens, assembly GCF_000001405.40. NCBI lineage: Eukaryota > Metazoa > Chordata > Mammalia > Primates > Hominidae > Homo > Homo sapiens. Next base: position 74,270,561 of record NC_000014.9, read on the forward strand.
TCACTTGCCTCGGCTTCCCAAAGTGCTGGGATTACAGGCGTGAGTCACTGTGCTTGGTCTAATTTTATTACACTATGATCAGAGATCATGGTTCATCATCTTGCTCTTTTGATATACTGAGACTTGGTTAGGGCTAGCATGTGGTTAATTTTCATAAATATTCCATTTGTGATTAAACATGTTTTTTCTAATTTTGGGAAATTAGAGTTTAAAATCTTCTGCTTTGTGGATTTGCCAATTTTGCCTTGTAATTTTGCTTTTTGTTTGTTGCATATTTTACTCTCATAGCATACTGTCTGCTTGTGTGTTTTGTTATTGACCACAACGAGCTTTTCTCCTTCTCTTTTTCTGTGTGAATACTTCCATTGTTTAAGTGTTCGTTCCAGTCCTCACCATGAGGTCGGCTCTTTTGTCCCCAAGTGGACATTTAAAATGCAAGTCCCGGCCAGGGGTGGTGGCTCATGCCTGTAATCCCAGGACTTTGGGAGGCCGAGGCGGGTGGATCACCTGAGGTCAGGAGTTCGAGACCAGCCTGATCAACATGGTGAAACCCCATCTCTACTAAAAATACAAAAAATTAGCCAGGCATGGTGGCGGGTGCCTGTAATCCCAGCTACTCAGGAGGCTGAGACAGGACAACTGCTTGAACCTGGGAGGCGGAGGTTGCAGTGAGCTGAGATCATGCCACTGCACTCCAGCTTGGGTGACAGAGAGAGACTCCATCTCAAAAAAAAAAAAATTAATTTAAATTAATTTAAAAAATAAAATGCAAGTCCTAAGGGCTGGGCACAGTGGCTCACACCTGTAATCCTAGCACTTTGGGAGGCCAAAGTGGGTGGATCACTTGAGCCTTGGAGTTTGAGAGAAGCCTGAGCAACATAGCAAAACTCCAAATCCACAAAAAATACAAAATTACAAAATCACTTGAACCTAGGAGGTTGAAGCTGCAGTAAGTCATGATTGCACCACTGTACTCCAGCCTGGGCAACATAGCAAGACCCCATCTCATAAATAAATAAAATGCAAGTGCTAGTCAACCTTCTGACTCTGACTGTCATACCTGGGATTCCCTTTCTTGTTTCCTATTCCAGTCATGCGTGAAACTTGTTTTTGTTATATTTTGTTCACCTCTAGATGTTCTTAATCAGAATTGTTTACCAGCCCACTCCACCATTGTCCTAGAAGCTCCTTTGTAAACTATAAAGGGCTGTGAAATGGGAACAACATGTTACCACTCAAGCCTTTGGCTTCTTGGTATCCTTCCCTATGGCTGGTGGTCACTGCCCCACTCAGTTCCCTGTTGGGACATTTCCCCCGGTCCTGACGTCAGTTATCTTTTTGGATTTGTTTTGCCTGGTTCTTATCAATCCCTTCTGGCCAAGAGGCTTCCGTAAACGCTCTGGGGTCTCTGAACCAAACATTTAGCCTCCCTGGGCCATGGTTCTGCGTCTCTCCTGTAACTGGCACCTTCCTCTTCATCTCTGCCCTCTGCCTTTAGAAGCGTCAAGTAAGCATTGGAGGAGCGAGCGAGTGAGTGGTTAGGCAGAGAGACAATGAAAATTTTTTTTTTGTTTGAGACAGAGTCTCGCTCTGTTGCCCAGGATGGAGTGCAGTGGCGCGATCTCGGCTCACTGCAGCCTCTGCCTCCCAGGTTCAAGCGCCCAGCCGAAAATATTAAATGTATTTTCTTCCAGTCTTTTGTTCCAGGCTAGGTGCAATGATAGCTGGAAGAATGAAAGTTCTCCCAAAGGCACATAGACCATACAGTTGGTAGGATAGTCAGGGAGTCAGGTAGAAATAAAGGGAAGGACTCTTTTAGTAGTACTTTAAAAAATACTTGCCGGGTGCAGTGGCTTACACCTGTAATCCCAGCACTTTGTGAGGCTGAGGCAGGAGGATCAGTTGAGGTCAGGAGTTCAAGACCAGCCTGGTCAACGTGGTGAAACCCCGTCTCTATTAAAAATAAAAAAATTAGTTGAGCGTAGTGGCGCATGCCTGTAATTCCAGCTACTCGGGAGGCTGAAGTAGGAGAATCCCTGGAACCTAGGAGGTGGAGGCTGCAGGGAGCCAAGATGGTGCCACTGCACTCCAGCCTGGGAGACGGAGCAAGACTCTTATCTCAACACCAACAACAACAACACAAAACTCTTAGCCGGGGGTGGTGGCTCACGCCTATAATCCCAGCACTTTGGGCGGCCAAGGCGGGCAGATCCCCTGAAGTTGGGAGTTCCAGACCAGCCTGACCAACATGGAGAAACCCTGTCTCTACTAAAAATGCAAAATTAGCCAGGTGTGGTGGCGCATGCCTGTAATCCCAGCTACTCGGGAGGCTGAGGCAGGAGAATTGCTTGAACCCAGGAGGTGGAGGTTGTGGTGAGCCAAGATCACGCCATTGCACTCCAGCCTGGGCAACAAGAGTGAAACTCCGCCTCAAGACAAAAACAAAAACAAATCCAGTTCACTACATTTTATTATTCACTCTGTATCTCTACTATTACTTTTTTTTTTTTTTGAGATAGGGTCTTCCTCTGTCACCTGGAGTGCAGTGGTGTGATCATGGCTCACTGTGGCCTCAGCCTCCTGGGTTCAAGTGATCCTCTCACCTCAGCCTCCCAAGCACCTGGGACTACAGACGTGCACCACCATGCCCAGATAATATTTTTTAATTTTTTTATAGAGACAGGGTCTCACTATGTTGCCCAGGCTGGTCTCAAACTCCTGGGCTCAAGTGATCCTCCTACCTTGGCCTCCCAAAGTGCTGGGATTACAGGCATAACCCCCGCTTGCCTGGCCTATTTTTGCATTTTTTTCTAAACCATTTGATAGTAAGTTGGGGACATGATACCCCATTACCACTTAATACTTCTGTGTATATTTCCTTAAAATGAGGATACTCTCCCACACAACCAAATACGACTAACAAAATCAAGAAATTGACATTGATTTGTCCAGAAGGGTGTTAAATACTATCAACTAGTCCACAGAACCCTGATCATTCCAAAAACGTCCTTTATCAACTGTGATCTGATCCAGGACTGCACGCTGAATTGAGTGACCCAGTCTCTGTAGTCTCCTCCAATCCATAACTGCCTTCTGTGACCTTGACGTTCTTGATGATTTCTGGCCAGTTACTTTATAGAATGTCCTCAATTTGGGTTTTGATATTTCCTCATAAGACTCAGGTTGCATACCTGAATCTGCATTTTTGGAGAAAATTCCATGGAACTGGTTCTCCATTCTCAGTGCATCATATCAGGAAGCACACCATGTTGTTCCATTCCTGGTGATGTTAATGTTTATCATTCGATTAAGATGGTACCTGCTAGCCAGGTGCAGTGGCTCATGTGCCTGTGATCCCAGGACTTTGGGAGGCCAAGGAGGGGCATATGGCTTGAGCTCGAGAATTCAAGACCAGCCTGGGCAACATGGCAAAACTCTGTCTCTACAAAAAATACAAAAATTAGCTGGGTGCAGTGATGTGTGCCTGTAGTCCCAGCTTCTCGGGAGGCTGAGGCAGGAGAATCGCTTGAGCCCAGGAGGGGGAGGTTGCAGTGAGCCAAGATTGTGTCATTGCACTCTAACCTGGGCAATGGGAGTGAAACCCTGTCTCAAAACCAAAACCAAAACAAAAAAAGATAGTACCTGCAGGTTTTTCCATTGTAAAGTTAATGAGTATCATGTACTTATTAACAAGTATTTTGTGGGATGATGCTTTGAGACTATATAAATATCTTATTCCTCATCAAACTTTAATCCACTACTTTTAACATCTGTTGGTTCCTCTTGTCTGGCTTTTTAGTGGAGAATGGTATTTAGGTACCAAAATCTAGGCACAAGGTATGCTTACTGTTATTGTGGTACAGTTGCTTCTAGGCCTTCTCAGGGGACAGAGTTGGGAAAACACACTGTATAGTGCTTACAGGTGCACTTTATTATTCTTTTTAAATTTTTTAAAATGTTACTATTTTTTTGAGACAGTCTCTTGTACTGCTCAGGCTGTAGTGCAGTGGTGGGATGAGGCTTACTGCAGCCTCAACCTCCCAGGCTCAAGTGATCCTCTCACCTCAGCCCTGCCAAGTAGCTGGGACTACAGGTGTGTGCCACCACACCCAGCTAATTTTAAAATTTTTTGTAGGAAAAGAAAAATATTTAAATTTTTTGTAGCTCAATATGTTGCCCAGACTAGTCTTGAACTCTTGGCCTCAAGCAATCCTCCTGTCTTAGCCTCCCAAAGTGCTGGGATTACAGGCATGAGCCACTGTGCCCGGCCACAGATGCATTTTGAATATCCTGGCATGAAAGACTTCCCAGACCCCTTTTCTCTGACTGGAGGGGTCCAGGGTACTTTGATGTCCCCAAGCACATGTAGCTAATACCTCACTCACACCCCTGGAATGAACCTTTGAAATAAGCAAGAATTAGGCTTTCTCTAGTTTCAAGTCCAGCCTGCCCCCCACTATAAGCCACACACCCTTGCACTAGCTACTGCTTTTGTAAATGGGTTTGGGACAGTTTTTAATAAAGGCAGCATGTGCTAGAACCCTAACCAACGATTTATCAACATGGACACTAGACTGTCTACTCTTCTAAGTGCTAGGGGTATAGCAGTAGCAGTCTAGATTTCAAACACAATCAACTTACAGTGGGGGTGGGGGGTATAGTTATTCCAGAAAACCTAGGCTAAAGCCAGATGCTGCAATAGACAGTAGGATTTGGTTTTGATCCTCCCAGGAGACTGGGTGAAGTGGAAGCATGCTGATGACTTAGCATACTTCCAACTGAGTGCTGAGTAACAGAAGGCAGAGCTATCAGCCAGAGAGCATTCTGGGCTTCTGCCTATATTAGTCCGTGACTGCATAGTGGATGTGTGTCCAGAGTTAACCATAGCCCTGTGAGGCCACTGGCTGCATGTGGCTCCCTGGCCGTGGTACATCAGGATTAGAGGGGTGTGATGATGGCCACCCCCGTCTGTAACTAAAGGGAAACCAGACTCCTCTGGTGGTTCTATCTGCCTGGTGGGGTGCAGAGAGGGCTGTGGTTGAGCTTGGTGGCATGGTGCCAGGTCCCCTGGGACAGCACCATCTTTTCCACTGGAAGGGGGAGACAGATGGTAGGAGGAGTGTACTCTGTGGCTATGCTAGGAATGGAAAGTGCTCACCCACCTGACCACCCCTGGCAAAGCTGGGGGCCAGGCCCACTCTTCTCTGGAAGCTGCGGTTTGGCTAGCGAGTAGGGACAGATGTCAAGAATGTGGACAGACTGGCTGGGCGCAGTGGCTCACACCTGTAATCCCAGCACTTTGGGAGGCCGAGGTGAGCGGATCACTTGAGGTGAGGAGTTCAAGACCAGCCTGGCCAACATAGCGAAACCCCATCTCTACTAAAAACACAAAAATTAGCTGGGTGTGGTGGCGCCTGCCTGTAATCCCAGCTACTTGGGAGGCTGAGGTGAGAGAATCGCATGAACCCGGGAGGTGGATGTTGCAGTGAGCCAAGATCATGCCACTGCACTCCAGCCTGAATAATAGAGTGAGACTCTGTATCAAAAAAAAAAAAAATTACAGGAAGAATGTGGGCAGACAGAGTGAGCAGTGTGTGAGAAGACACCCTGGGCTGGGAGGACTGGCGTCAGGGAGAGGCCCTGGGGTACCTCCTGAGCAGAAGGGCAAGGGTGATCCATGTGTCCCTAGATGGGGAGGGCCTCCCCCAGACTCTCTAGGCCTGCCTTGGGGGAGCCGGTCAGACCATTTTGTTTTTTTTTTTTTTGAGACGGAGTTTTGCTTTTGTTGCCCAGGCTGGAGTGCAATGGCGAGATCTCGGCTCACCACAATCTCCACCTCCCGAACTCCCGACCTCAGGTGATTTGCCTGCCTCAGCCTCCCAAAGTGCTGGAATTACAGGCATGAGCCACTGCGCCCGGCTGGTCAGACATTTATTGAGAGCTCCCTATGCCTGAGGCTCCTTGCTAGCCCCATGTTTGACGACCAGGTCTGCTGCTGCCAGGACAGCTAGAGTGGGGCTGGAGTTTGGGGTATAGAAGTGGGCAAGGGCAGACACGGGAGCCTAGACCCCTGCAGGGGTGCCACAGGAGGGTAGCATGGGAGGAAAGGCCAGGCCTCTGACTCCACTGCTCACTCACCTGTCCCAGCGCCATCTCCTCATTCTGGGCTCCTGTCTGGACCAGTGCCTGGAGAATTCTGTCAGCCTCAAGACTTTCCCTGCCAGAGGCTGTTGGTGGCTACATTCAGCTTACCATGCTGGCTTGGTACCTGGAGTGCTAGGCCTGACTTCTTCTTGCCCAGTTCAAGCACCTAGAGGCCACTGGGGTAGAGTAAGAGGATGAAGAGGACTGGGGTGGGTGTGCGGGAATGTGTGGGGAGGGGCCTGGGGCTGGGCCACCCTGGGACGAGCGGTGTTGGACAGGAGCAGAGAGTAAGCTCGGAGCACTCATTTGGTGGGCTGCAGACTGAGAAGACTTGCTGGGGGCAGAGTTCTTGGGCTGGGACTGCTTTTTTTTTTTTTTTTTTTTTTCCGAGACAGAGTCTTGCTCTGTTGCCCAGGCTGGTGTGCAGTGGCGTGATCCCAGCTCACTGCAACCTCCGCCTCCTGGGTTCAAGCAATTCTCCTGCCTCAGCCTTCTGAGTAGCTAGAATTACAGGCACACGCCACCATGCCTAGCTAATTTTTGTGATTTTAGTACAGACGGGGTTTCACCATGTTGGTCAGAATGGTCTCGATCTCCTGACCTTGTGATCCACCTGCCTCGGCCTCCCAGAATGCTGGGAGTACAGGCGTGAGCCACCACACCGGGCCAGGACTGTTCTTAAAGCAGTAGGATGCTTTTTTTTTTTTTTTGAGATGGAGTTCCACTCTTGTTGCCCAGGCTAGAGTGCAGTCGTGCAATCTCGGCTCACTGCAACTTCTGCCTCCCAGGTTCAAGTGATTCTCCTGCCTCAGCCTCTCAAGTAGCTACAATTACAGGCATGCACCACCACGCCTAGTTTTGTATTTTTAGTAGATGGGATTTCACCATGTTGGTCAGGCTGGTCTCAAACTGCTAACCTCAAGTGATCCACCCGCCTTGGCCTCCCAAAGTGCTGGGATTACAGGCGTGAGCCACCATGTCCAGCCTGCAGTGGGATGCTTTCTGTCTTTGAAAAGGCACATGGAATCCAATCATGCTGGCAAACCTTTCTCCTCTTCCAGCTCCAGTGCCAGTTCTGACACCAGGTCCAGAGCTAGGGCCAGATCCGGTGTCAGCTCTACCATCAGCTTCAGCACAAGCTGTAGAGAGTGAGCCAGTTCTAGCACCAGCTCCAGAGCTAGAACCAGTTGTTGTGCCAACTCCAGAGCTACATTCAACTTCAGGAGCCAGCTCCAGATCCAGTGCTATCTCCAGAGCTAGAGTCAGCTCTAAAGCTGGAGTCAGCTCCAAAGCTAGAGCCTGCTCCGGCTCCTATGCCAGTGTCAACATTAGTACCAGCACTAGCTCCAGCTCTAGAGCTACAGACAGCTCTGCACCTACTCCAGCACCAACTCTGGCATCCACTCGTGAGCTATAGCCAGATTTAGTGCCAGCTCCAGAGCCAGAAGCAGGTTCAGCACCAACGCTGGCACTAAAGGAAGTTCTAGGTCCAGAGCTAGTGCCAGCTCCAGCACCAGCAGCACAGCTAGAGCCAGCTCCATCACTAGCTCCAGCACCAGATGAGAAGCTAGAGCCAGCTCTAGCACCAGCTCCAGAGCCTAGGCCAGGTGAAGTGCCAGCTTTGGCACCACCTCCAGAGCTAAAGCCAGTGCTAGCTCTAGAACTAGCTCCATCACCTGTTCCAGAGCTTAAGCCAGTTGTAGTGCCAGCCACAGAGCTATATTCAGCTTTGGTGTCAGCTCTAGAGCTAGAGTCAGCTCCAATGGCAGCTTTGAAGCTAGAGCCTGCTCCTGCTCTAGCACCAGCCCTAGATCCAGCTCCAGAGCTAGACAGTTCTGACACCTAGTCTAGCACTAGCAGTAGAGCCAGTGCCAGCACCAGCTACAAAGCAGGAGCTAGCTCCAGCACCCACCACAGCACTCATCCCCAAGCTAAAGCCAGAATGAGTGCCAGCTGCAGAGCTAGAAGCGGCTTCAGCACCAAATCCAGTGATAGAGCCAGTGCCAGTTCATCTGTTGATGGACATTTTTGAGCTGTTTCCACTTTCTGGTTATTGTGAATAGTGCTGTTATGAACACTCCTATAAAAGTATTGGTTGGGGTACCCATCCTTGGTTCTTTTGAGATATGCCTGAATGGAACTGCCAGGTCATATGGTAGTTATTTTACTTTTTGAGGAACTACCAGAATGTTTTCCATAGTGGCTGCACCATTTTACATTTCTGCCAGTAATGTACAAAGGTTCCAATTTTTTTTTTTTTGAGACGGAGTCTTGCTATGTTGCCCAGGCTGGAGTGCAGTGGTGCGATATTGGCTCACTGCAACCTCTGCCTCCCAGGTTCAAGCGATTCTCATGCCTCAGTCTCCCGGGTAGCTGGGACTACAGGTGTGTGCCACCACTCTGTGCTAATTTTTGTATTTTTAGTAGAGACAGGGTTTCACCATGTTGGCCAGACTGGTCTTGAACTCCTGAACTCAGGTGACCCACCCGTCTTGGCCTCCCAAAGTGCTGGGATTACAGATGTGGGCCACCATGCCCAGATCCAATTTTCTATTTCCTCATCAGCACTTGTTATTTTCTGTTTTTTAAATTATAGCCACCCTAGTGGGTATGAAATATCTCACTGTGGTTTTTATTTGCATTTCCCTCATGACTAATGATGTTGATCATCTTTTTGTATGCTTGTTGGCCATTTATATATCTTCTTTGGAGAAATGTCCATTTTTAAATTGGATTGTCTTTTTATTGTTGAGTTGTAAGAGTTCTTTAAATATTTGGGATACTAGACTCTTATCAGATTTCTGATTTGCAAATATTTTCTACCTTTCACTCTCGAGAAGTTCTGGCTGTTACTTCCTCAAATATTCTTCCTTCCCCTTCCTCTTCTCTTCTTCCAAGAGTCCCACAGTCTCAGGATGTTGTTCCACTTGACGGTGTCTCACAATCACTTAGATTCTGCTTACTTTCTTTCATTCTGCTCCTTAGACTGGAGACTTTCAATCATCCTGTCTTCAGGTTCGCTGGTTCTTTTTTTTCCGCTTGTTCTCATCGGCTGTAGAACCCCTCTAGTGAATTTTTTATTTCAGTTGCTATACTTTTCAGGTCCAGCTCTACTGGATTCCTTTATTCCTTTTGTTTGTTTGTTTTTTTTTTTAGATGGAGTTTTGCCCAGGCTGGAGTGCAGTGGTGCGATCTTGGCTCAGTGCAACCTCTGCCTTCCAGATTCAAGCAATTCTCCCTCCTCAGCCTCCCGAGTAGCTGGGATTACAGGAGCCCACCACCACACCCAGCTAACTTTTTGTATTTTTAGTAGAGACGGGGTTTTGCCATGTTGGCCAGGCTGATCTTGAACTACTGACCTCAGGTGATCCACCCACCTTGGCCTCCCAAAATGCTATGACTTCAAACGTGAGCCACTGTGTCTGGCCTGAATTCCTTTTTATAATTTCTGTCTCTTTCTTGATATTCATTTTGTACCTCATTTTTCTGTTTTCCTTTAGTTCTTTGCCCGTGCTTTCCATGAGCTCTTTGAGCACATTTAAATGTCTAGGCTTCCTTAGAAACAGGTTCTGTCAACTTTTTTCCTCTTGAATGGACCATCATTTCTTATTTCTTTGTATAATTTGTGAGGTTCTACTTGTTATTGAAAACTAGACATTTGAAGGCCAGGCGTGGTGGCTCATGCCTGTAATCCCAGCACTTTGGGAGGCCGAGGTGGGCAGATCACCTGGGGTCAGGGGTTCAAGACCAGCCTGGGCAACATGGTGAAACCCCGTCTCTATTAAAAATACAAAAATTAGCTGGGCGTGGTGGCACGCGCTTGTAATCCCAGCTACCCGGGAGGCTGAGGCAGGAGAATTGCTTGAATCTGGAAGGCAGAGGTTGCACTGAGCCGAGATCACGCCACTGCACTCCAGCCTGGGTGACAGAGCAAGACTCCGTCTCAAAAAAAAAAAAAAAAAAAAGAAACCTAGACATTTGAATATTATAATATGGCAACCCTAGAAATCAGTTTCTCCTCCTTCCCCAGTTTACTGTTTTTAATTGCTGAAGGCTGTAGTTGCCTCTTTGTTTGGTGACTTTACCAAACTATTTTTGCAAAGTCAGTAATCCTTGTCATGTGTGGTCTCTGTTCAGCTAGTGCCTTGAGAGATTTCCTTGAATGCCAGGAGCTAAGAACAAATGAACCCCTCTGTCCTGCCCTGAACTTGAGCCTTCCCTGAGGCTTCCGACCTTCAAGACTCTTTCCTACCTACAGATGAACAAATCCACTGGCCCACCCTGGCCAGCCTCACCCTGCTTGGAGGCTCAAGGTCAATGTTCCCTAGCCCATGTCCTCCTGCTTGATGCCCAGGGCCAGGGTTTAGCTAAGCTTCTCCCCACCCCCTAGGAGGGCATTGCTGCAGCCTCCCACAAGGGTACTGGCCCCCCTCTCAGCTGACTTGCTCTCCAAGGGCAGGCTGTCCCAACAATTACATGTGCCTCCACAGGGTCCTCTCTGTCCCAGGGATTAGCTCAGGAACATTCATTGTCCCAAAATCCAAGTACAGCATCAGCCAGGAGCTCCTGGCACCAACAGGACAGTGCTTCCAGAAAGGCAGCATTTACAGAGACTAACTGGCATTGTGTTTCTCCGGCTTCCTGGACCGACAAGCTCAGCTCTGTTGTGGACACAGAACACACAGCACAGCTCTCTCTGGCCTATGGCAGGAACAGAGGCTTATTGGTGACCTTCCAGTCTCTGTTACCCTCAAAATGACCAGAGTGGCCAGCCCGAGTCTCTTGGGGGCTCCTTATCCTCTGCCCATGAGAAGCATCTCCCTCCCTCCTTCCTCTGCCCAGAGGCTTTCCCACTCTGCTTCCTTCTCAACTGGCCTGGTCCGTGTGGCCAGGTTACCAGCTCACCTTCCTCAGTCCCTGTCTTTCTTCCACACCTAGCAGAACCCCCAGGCATTTTGTTTTGCAAGGACTCAAGGACCCTACCTCTGACAGCCCCATCAGTGATAGCCCAAGCCCTGCAGCCTTCCTTGCTGCTAGGTCTGTGGTGACAATTAAATGAAAAAAATGGGCAGGGCACAGTGGTTCACGCATGTAATCCCAGCACTTTGGGAGGCTGAGGCAAAAGGACGGCTTGAGCCCAGGAGTTCAAGACCAGCTTGGGCAACATGGTGAGAGCCCCGTCTCTACAAAGAAAAAAGAAAATGGCCGGGCACAGTGGCTCACGCCTGTAATCCCAGCACTTTGGGAGGCCGAGGCAAGAGGACTGCTTGAGCCCAGGAGTTCAAGACCAGCTTGGGCAACATGGTGAAACCCCATCTCCACAAAAGAAAAAAAAAAAAAAATTTAGCTGGGCGTGCTAGCGCACACCTATAGTTCCAGCTACTTAGGAGGCTGAGGCAGGAGAATTGCTTCAGCCCAGGAGGTCGAGGCTGCAGTGAGCTATGATTGTGCTACTACACTCCAGCCTGACGACAGAGAAAGACCCCATCACTCATACATACACATATACATAAATGAAAAAATGTCTCCAAAATGCTGGATGCAGGGGAGGTGTGGCAGCTGTTTATGAGGACTTCTGTTTGCAGTGCCTGCCCCACAGATGTTGCATTCATGAACTTTTGTTCAAAAGCTAAGATCACTTCCATCCTCCCTGGTCTTTCCTGAGATAATCTGTCCCGGAATCCAAGTTGTCCCCTCCAGTACCCAATCCTTTCGGAGGGGTTAAAGGGATTGCAGGGGAGATACAGGAGAAGGAGAGAAGACACAGGCTGCTGTGTAAGAAGTGAAACCAAGGGAAAGATAATGGGGATTTTAAAGATGGTTTGCAGGCCAGGCGCAGTGGCTCACACCTGTAATCCCAGCACTTTGGGAGGCTGAGGCAGGTGGATTGCCTGAGTTCAGGAGTTCGAGCCCAGCCTGGCCAACATGGTGAAACCCTGCCTCTACTAAAAAAAAAAATACGGCCAAGCGTGGTGGCTCACGCCTGTAATTCCAGCACTTTGGGAGGCTGAGGCAGGCAAATCATGAGGTCAGGAGATCGAGACCATCCTGGCTAACACGGTGAAACCCCATCTCTACTAAAAATACAGAAAATTAGCCAGGTGTGGTGGTGGACGCCTGTAGTCCCAGCTACTTGGGAGGCTGAGGCAGAAGAATGGCGTGAACCCGGGAGGCAGAGCTGGCAGTGAGCTGAGATTGCGCCAGTGCACTACAGCCTGTGGGACAGAGCAACTCCGTCTCAAAAAAAAAAAAAAAATTAGCTGGGCATGGTGGCACATGCCTGTAATCCCAGCTACTAAGGAGGCTGAGGCGGGAGAATTGCTTGAACCTGGGAGGCAGAGGTTGCAGTGAGCCGAGATTGCGCCATTGCACTCCAGTTTGGACAACAAGAGTGAACTCCGTCTCAAAAAAAAAAAAAAAGATGGTTTGCTTTGCAGCAGGAAATAGGACTCCCTACACACTCACGAACCATCTGGTAACATTCTGTAATAGTCTTCCATGGTTTTGTATTTGACTTGATGTTTTGGGTAATGCTAGAATGCTCGAGTTCTAGAGGCAGCTCAAGAAGACCTGCTACAGTATCACAACAGACATACGATTTTGTAAATGTTTTCCACTTGTAGTTGAGCCCAGTGTTTTCCTGCTGCTTTCTGCCTTCAGACCCACCATGTACCACATGGAACACGCGAGCTCCAGCAGAGGTGCCAGGTCCATCTTGCTCCCCACTGTAACCCTGGAACTGAGAATGGTGCCTCAGACATGGCTGGTGTGCGGCAAACCAAAGTGCCCTCACTTTCAAGAACTGCCCCATAGCCCACAGAATGCCGTGCCACTGGTTACTAACATTCCCCTACGTGGCAGGCTCAGGCTGCCTCCTGACACTTCTTTTTTTCAGAGTCCAGCTGCCGTCCAGGCTCCTGTTCCTCGATTCTCCTTGTGGTTTTTCTCATTTTTCTGGCTCCCTCTGAGCTGCTTCTAGCTAGGATTCAAGCAGGTGAGAGAAGTGAATGGCTGGAAGATTTACTTATGGGGTCAGAGCAACAGCACCTGGTGATGTGCTAGATGGACAGTAACGCCACTTGCCATCAGAGGAGATGCTAGAAAAGGCTCTGGGGAAAGCTTTTTTTTGAGACGGAGTCTCGCTCTGTCGCCCAGGCTGGAGTGCCGTGGCACAATCTCTGCTCACTGCAACCTCCGCCTCCTGGGTTCAAATGATTCTCCTGCCTCAGCCTCCCGAGTAGCTGGGACTACAGGCGCCTGCCACCACACCCGGCTAACTTTTGTATTTTTAGTAGAGATGGGGTTTTACCATATTGGCCAGGCTGGTCCTGAACTCCTGACCTTGTGATCTGCCCACCTCGGCCTCCCAAAGTGCTGGGATTACAGGCGTGAGTGGGAAAGCTTTCTTTTTTTTTGAGACAGAGTCTTGCTTTGGCACCAGGCTGGAGTGCAGTGGCACGATCTCGGCTCACTGCAACCCCCGCCTCCTGGGTTCAAGCGATTCTCCAGCCTCAGCCTCCCGAGTAGCTGGGATTACAGGCATGTGCCACCACACCCAGCTAATTTTTTTATTTTTAGTAGAGACGGGGTTTCACCATGTTGGCCAGGATGGTTTCGATCTCCTGACCTTGCAATCCACCCACCTCAGCCTCCCAAAGTGCTGGGATTACAGGCATGAGCCACTATGCCCGGCCAGGGAAAGCTCTTCTTGTTCAGTTTGGGACATGTTGGGTTTGAGCTGCCTTTACTAGACACACATTGACATGTTAAGCCAACGTGGATAGAGATGACAAAAGATGGCTTTTCTGCCTGTCCTGCAGCCCAGAACCCTCCAGAAGAGTGATGGGAAACCTATGGCTATCTTTATGTCTCATCCACATGGGTCACTGTAGATTCCTGGGTGGCCAAAATGGGTCTTAAGTTTGGGAAACTATTTGCCTGGCTGATGTACGATGCATTTAAAACAAACATTTTGTCCATAATGTACTATGAAGGACACAAGACCTGATTTTCCTCCACGCATGTTTATGTCGACTCATCTAAGAGTAGTCTCCATCTCTGACATGAGGGAGGGATAGAGGTGCAGAGTGTGCCCCTAGGAGTAGCTTTCTTGGGCAGTTTCTGTGAGGGAGAAGGCTAAGTGTTAAGAACAGAACAGCACTGGAAACCAGTTAGAGGCAGAGGAAGCAGCAAATGCAAAGACCCTGAGATAGGAATGAATTGGTCTCCAAAATAATCTGGATGCTGGGCATAGGAGCTCCTGCCTGTGGTCCCAGCTACTTGAGAGGCTGTGGTGGGAGGATCACTTGAGCCCGGGAAGTCAAGGCTGCAATAAGCTGTGATTGTGCCACTAGATTACAGCCTGGGCTACAGAGTGAGGTGTGAGACACTGTCTCAAAAATAAATAATAAAAAATAAAAATAAACAAAATAACTTGGCAGCGGCAGCAGCGTCTGTGAAAAAGGCTTAGGAGCTGAAGAAGTCAGTAAGGATAGAGTAAGTCATTTTTAAGTGGTACCAAGAAAGCGTTAAATAATCTTATATTTTACAGTGAGAAAATACAATTCTCACTCCATCTTTCTGATTTTATTAAGGAGAAAAATCTCAGTTGAGTGCCAGTCCGTCTAACTCCTCACCTCTCTTTTTTACAAAATGAACAAGCCTCAGGCCCAGAGTCTATGCAGGCAACAGCATCTAGCCGTAAGTTAATAACACCGATGGTTTTTCTTGTATTTATTTTTAGTTACTTTCCATCTATGTTAAGTGTAAAATTTCACTTAAAAATCCATTTAAACTTAAAAGGTTTGTTTTTAAAAATATTAAGTAACTCAAGTACTAGAAGTACAGAAGCCTGGCAAAAATTATGAAGGTAAGGAAGGTAATACATAGACAACTGAACTGGAGGGGCACTGGTCTGAGTGAGGACTTTGGGCACAGTAACTCCACCTCATGCTTTGTGCTTTCTGGGTTTTGTCTAATTTGCTGTTGTTGTTCCCTAATATAGACTATTTTTTTAGAAAACCCAACCTTATTTTGGCTAAGGGGAAAGGGATTTACTTTCATTTGGGTTAAGGTAGGGCAGACCAAAGGCCCCTGGAAGTTAGTGGTTCAGGTTCTAACTACACAACACTGGCAAGTGGAAAGGGAGATGTGGGGAGAAGTGAAAAACCCTGGGCATAAGATTCCAGAACAGCAGAGTGTGCTTCCCTTCCCACCAAGCTGTCAAATACAAATCTGGAGATTCAATAAAAAAGATCATTCCATGATAGAGAAGACAGAAAGCTGTAATTCTTTTTAATGTTTAACTTTTCTTTGTAAAAAACTTATTAAAAAACTTAAATGGTCAGTTAAAGTTAAAAATCTATTGCTGCACAATTTAACTGATTAAAAGATTTCCAGATCTCTTGACTCCAAGAGTCATTTCTTTCATTTCTTACAGATCTCACACTTCCAGATTTCTCTTTAGCAAACATGATCTGAAATCATTTGTAGGTAATCAGCACTTCAAGCATATGGAGGCTCTGGCTGAGGCAGCAGAGTCCTGGGAGACTGAACACTGGGAGATTCAGTGTCCCCCACAGAAACCTAGACCTGGGCTCAGCCCACCACTGCTAGGGGTCCTGCACAGGACCCATGTGGCTCCTGCACGGGATCTATGTGGCGAACCTGAGCTCGATCTTCGCTGTCAGTCCTCCTGGTCTCTCCTGAGGGCCGCCGACCCGCCACAGTGTGGCTCTCCTTCCAAAAGCCAGAGCTTCATTCCACTTTGATTCTCATCAGCTCCCATCTTCCTCCTCCACAGAGTTTCAGAACCAAGGAATGAAACTACAAGAGACCACCACCACATGGAGATCAGGCTGCCCTGGCCGCTGGCAGAGGAGGCCACTCGGTTCTCTCTGCTACTGCTACTCCCCGTTTTGAGGGGCCTCTGGCCCTGGCCAGGCTGAGCCTTTGGGTTCTTTCTCCTCCTCAGGCCATCCTTGTGAGCACGGGTACCTTCTCAAGGCTCTGCCGATGTCCCACACTGATGAACGTCATCCCCAGCTGCTGGCCGATGCGATAGAGCTCGCTCTCCACTTCCTCTGTCAGGGCACTGGTGGCTTCATCAAGCACTGAGGGGGCAGAGCACAGAGGAAGAGATCAAAGCCCTGCCCTCTGCCGCCGCTGCTTCTCCTCCCACCCATACTCAACCCCAGCTGGGACCCAGGGGAGGCTGAAAGCTGCTCTGGCTTCCAGAAGCCCTGCCTCAGGGAGAAGGATGGGCCAGAGGAGCAGAGGGCCAGACTCTCCAAGGGAATAGCCTGTGAGCAGCTGCATGAAATCTCTCAGCTTCTATAGATAAGCACCAGCCACTCCCTGGGACCACTCAATCCAGGGAATCCCAGTCCCCCGCAAGAATGTCAGTCTTTGGAAAAGTCCACACCCATCCACCTGCCAGGCACAGCTTGGTGGGAGAGGAGGATGGGTGCCCATTCATTTGATGGTGGAGCCAGAGGAGCATAAAATTATAACCCTTCAATGTTGGCTCCTGGCTCCAGCTGCTGCCAGGCAAAAAGCTTATGAGCTAGGCATAGTGGTTCATGCCTGTAATCCCAGCACTTTGGGAGGCCAACGTGGGAGGATGGCCTGAGTCCAGGAACTCCAGACCAGCCTGGGCAACATAGCATGACCCTGTCTCTACAAAAATAAAAATAAAAAAATTAGCAGGGTGTGGTGGCACATGCTTGTAGTCCCAGCTACTCAGGAGGCTGAGGTGGGAGGATCACTTAAGCCTGGGAGTTCCAGGCTGCACTGAGCCATGACTGTGCCCCTGTACCCCAGCCTGGGTGACAGAGTGAGACTGTCTCAAAAAAAAAAAAAAAAAAAGAAAAGAAAAAAGAAAACAGAAGAAAAGCAAGCTTATGAGCTGGCAGTACCGCATATTCAGTGTTAACTCTGACGATGCCAGGCACTGTTTACACGGGCAGGGCCTGCTGTCCTCTCCAGCAGGGAATGCGGAGAAGCCCAGCCATTCACAGGTGTGCCTGGGTGCCTGTGAACACATGCTGCTACACCCGTGAGTGCAGACAGCGCATGGCATGTGCAGCCACAAGGCGAGACCTCACCTGCGTACTTCGGCTGCAGGTAGAAGAGTCGGGCAAAGGAGAGCCGTTGCATCTCCCCCGGGGACAGAACATCATACCTGAGGAAAGGTAGGAGAGAGGACTGCTAGAGGAGGAAGAATATAGCTTGGCTTTTACCTAGAATGGTCTGGGTAGGAAGAGGTTTCTCTGCACAGAGGTGAGCCCCAGGAGACAGAAGCCCCTTCCCTTTCGACCATAGGCCTACAGCCCTCACAGAGTGAGGCAAAACTCTGTTCCCAAGGGCATAAACTTGCACCCGACTGACCAGCCAAACATCTGGACTTTGGGGTCAGGAGCCGTTCCATTCCTTGACAGGGACCCTGAAACCCACTGTCTTTATGGTGGGGCTATCTCTGGAGCACCCAAGCTCTTTTCTTACCAGTTCCAGTCCACCTGCTGGTCCAGGCCCTCTGTCCTTGCCACCAAGTTGGACTGTAACAGACCCAGAGGGCAGGATGTCCATGAAATGGCCAGCCCTGCTACCTGCCATCATGGGGAACCTCCCTCACTCCCCAGCATACACACACACCTCTAAGACAAATATATGCCCCAGTGGCATACCAAGGCGGGGGACTGTGGGACAGTCTGCCCCAGGCAGAGAGGAATATTCTACCAATGACACTGTTTAGACTTGCTGGAGCATGATGACAGTAAAAAGCAAACCGCCTTCATCAATCCTATTCTTGTTTTAAAATTCTCCAATGAGAGCACTACCCCCTTCGTGCCTAAACCTGGCCAACAGCACACACTGTCAACTGATACTCCCATTCTCCACCCCAGGTTCAGACTTCCAGTCCTGGGCCCAAGCATAGCAGGGCCAGCACCTGCCTACCTGTAGCTGGTGCTCCCAGGTGGGCTCGGGTCCTGAGGGTCCCTCTCCCCACTTACCAGGCCTGCCAATTCCAAGAACCTCAAGATCCTCTCATCATCGGCAGAACCTGCACAACAAAGAAGCCTTCTGCAAAAAGCCAGAGCCTCCTGGCTGGTCAAAATAGACAGGGCAAGGCTGTGCACAGTGGCTCACGCCTGTAATCCCAACACTTTGGGAGGCCGAGGCAGGTGGATCACAAGGTCAGGAGATGGAGACCACCCTGGCCAACATGGTGAAACGCTGTCTCTACTAAATATACAAAAATTAGGCAGGCAAGGTGGCGTGCACCTGTAGCCCCAGCTACGGAAGAGGCTGAGGCAGGGGAATTGCTTGAACCCGGGAGGTGGAGGTTGCAGTGAGCCGAGATCACACCACTGCACTCCAGTCTGGGTGACAGAGTGAAACTCCATCTCAAAAAAAAAAAAAAAAAAAAAAAAAAAGAATAGACAGGGCACATCATGGATGATGCAGGGGTGGGGGCCTCAGAATGCTGGGCGAAGGCTTTGAAACCACAGGTTGCAGATCTTCATAAGGGAAGGGGTGGGTGAAGGAAGGCATCACTTTCCTTGTCCCAGTGGGCATCTCTCCTTAAGGACAGAAAGAATGAGGTGAGATCTGGGTACAGACCCCAAAACAGTCAAAGGAAGAGGAGAGGAGCCCCTCTTCCTTGAATCAGCGGCCTGGCTGGAGCCTCTCCCCAAGGGCACAGATGAGGCCACAGTCAGGTAGAGCAGGGACAACCATGACAGAAGGAGAGGACATGACCTAAGGAGGACCAGCTCACCTGAGTCGGGGTAGACCTCCTTCAGGGGATATATCACCTGAGAAAAGAAAAAAACCACACCAACCTAGGAGGGCGAGCAAAAGACGGAGCTGCACACAGCCCACCCTCCCTCCAGAACCCACTGGAACCTCCCAAGGAGGAGAGGTGGGAACGCCTGGCCTGGGTCAGATGGGAGAGGCTCTGGCCGGCAGACAGCAGGGCAAGGTCCCTACAACCTTCAGAAGTGTGTTTAGGGGGAACAGTCTGACAGCCTCCTGAGGGCAGGGGCCCCAGAATCCGACCTTGGGTGTTTGACATACGCGTGTGGTATTTGGCGTGAGTCCTTGCCCCATTTACCTGCCTCAGGAGCTGCTATGAGTAGTGGGCCCAATCCATGGATGTGAATAGAAGGTTCTTAGAGCCAGCAGTTCCCAGGCCCGGGCCACTTCACCACCTCACCTTTTGCCCTGACTCTAGGACCTGAGACTTGTCACAGTGCCAGAGGTCCCAGCTGTGGGTGGGCGGGGTTGAGGAGGGAGGAGTGAGCCCCCTGAACTAGACTGACCTGCTCCCGAAGGGTCCCGTCAGTGAAGAATGGCTTTTGTGGCAGGAATAGCACCCCATGGGGCCCAAAGTCCGTCAGCATCTGCACTGAGCCTGCAGAGCCCACAGAAACCTCCATTGTGAGATCTCCCAGAAGAGGCAACTGCCTGTCTCCTCTCTTCCTTGTTCCCCAACAGAAAAGAATGGATTCTACCACACCGTCCCCGCCTTCACCCCACCCCTAGGGCCCAGGCTGGGTCAGAGGCAGGGAGGGCCTGGCTCTCACCCCGTGTACTCGTCCAGAGGCCACCCAGAACCCGGAGCAAGGAGGTCTTGCCAGTGCCCGTGTTGCCTGTGATGAGCAGGCTCTGTCCCTCGGAGATCTTTAGGCTCAGATCCTTGATTAGGGGTTTGTCAGAGGAGGGGGCAGAGATGGAGACCCGCTCAAGGAGAAATGCTGTGTCTGCTGGCTCTGCCGCTGGCCACCCTGGGGGTCTGTGTCAGAGAAGAGAGGGGGCGTGAGGAAGATGGGCAGGGTCAGTATTGCTGTGGGGGAGGCACTGCTCCCGGGAGCCACCACCTGTGGATTATTATGGGCTGACTTGCATCCTCCCAAAATCACATGCTGAAGTCCAGCCCCCTAGTGACTCAGAATGTAACTGCATTCGGAGGCAGGGTCTTTTTTTTTTTTTTTTTTTTTGAGAGAAAGTCTTGCTGTCACCCAGGCTTGAGTGCAGTGGAGCTATCTCAGCTCACTGCAACCTCCGCCTCCTGGGTTCAAGCGATTTTCCTGTCCCAGCCTCCTGAGTAGCTGGATTACAGGTGCCCACCACCGTGCCCATATTTTTAGTAGAGACAGGGTTTCACTATGTTGGCCAGTCTGGTCTCGAACTTGTGACCTCAGGTGATCTGCCCACCTCAGCCTCCCAAAGTGGTGGGATTATAGACGTGAGCTTCCGTGCCCAGCTGGAGGCAGGGTCTTTAAAGAGATGATGTTAACATGAAGTTGTTGGGGTGGGACCCTAATCCAATATGACTGGTGTCCTCTTAAGATAGAGGTGGCAGGGGCACGCACATATAAAGGAAAGGCCACGTGAGGACACAGCAACAAGGTGGCCATCTACAAGCCAAGGAGTGGCCTAAGAAACCAACCCTGCTGACAACTTGATCGTGGACCATAAGCATCCAGAATTGTGAGGAAATTAATTTCTATTGTTTAAGCCAGCCGGTTTGTGGTTTTCTGTCATGGCAGCCTGAGCACATTAATACAGGGGTAGGGGTGGAACTTCTACTCTCTGCCTGGCTGGACAAAGCCCCTTATGGGACTGATCTTACTCAGTCTAATGCCCATGAGTCTCAAATATCATCACAGATGAGGACACTAAGAATCAGGTGGCTAAGTAACTGCCCAGGTTGCAGAGCGGTATTCAACAAATTCTAATGCTGGTGGGTCTTCATGGCATCACAGTGTGACCAGAGTACTAATAACAAGAATGGGAGTGGTTAAAGCTAAATGGTTCTGGAGTTTCTGCCTCTGCATGGATGCCTGGCTCCCCACAGAACAGCAATTCCAGTTTCCTACAGACCCTCCTTCATGCCCAGCCTCTGCACTCATGGTTGCATGAAGCTTTCATTTGGAACAGAAGCAACAGTTAAGGTATTAGCTCCTAAGAAAAGCAAGTTGAGTGTAGGCCCTGGAATTCAGACTGATTTTTGAAAGCTTATGATGTGGCCACTGTCCAAGCACTTTCCATGGATGATGATATCTAATCCCTACAACAAGTGAAGGAAGTTCATTATGACCTCCTTTTCAGACATGAAGAAACAGAACAGTTAGGTAATCTGCCCAAGGAAAGTGTGGAGATCAAGCAAATCCTGAATGCACAGAAATATTACAGATCCACGCAGACACACGGATACAGACATCTCTGGGGCTGAGTGAGGTGGGGGAACAAAGACAGACATGCCCCAAGGAAAGGGGCAGGGAGAGGAATCAGCGGGAGGAGGAAGCACAGGAAGGGGAGGACACTGCAGATTCCTGTTATCTCAGGCAGAAGGTGTGTGTACTTTGCTTCCACTGGCCGGGGAATGGTGTAAATTAACACAACAGATGCCGGAACAGCAACATCGACTGTGAACTTACATGTGCCTGGCATTCCATTTCCATTTACTCCTTACAACTCTGCTGCCCAGCTGGGAAAGGGCAGGACTCCAGGGTAACCCAAGCCAGGTGATGCCACAGCCTGCAGCCTCAACTACTGCTCTGCCAGCCCGCTACTCACGTGTCCAAGCCCCACTCGCTCTCGCCCAGGATCTCGCAGTCCTGTGACTTCAGGGACATGTCCAGAAGCGTCTCCCGAAGCTGCCCAATTCTGAACAAGAAAAGAAAATCTGAGGCAGGGTCTGGGAGCCAGGTGAAGGTGAACTCCTTTTCCTATCTCACACCCACGAGTACATGGTATGTCTCTGTTCCTTTTTTCACTCAGCCACTTCTGCCAGCAGCACACACTTTGCTCAGGAGCCAGAGGGGTGGGACACGGCCTCACCTGTGCGTGTAGCCAGCCACATCTGAGAGCGTCGTGGACAGGTCGATGAGCTGGGTGAAGCAGCTGATGAGGTAGATGCACACAAAGGCATTCTGGACAGGATGGGAAGAGGTCAAGCAGGTCTCGACTCGAGCCCACAGACACTGGGCCAAGGACAGAGAGGGACAGCATGTGGGGTGACCAAGAGGGAGTCTCACCTTGCTGACCAGGGTGCTAAGCTCTGCGGGACTCAGGTCTCCATAGACCCCGCTGAAAATGGGGATTGCGATGACAACGTAACTCAGGATGCTGCCCAGATAGTCAAAGGTGTTGATGCCGACTGTAGAAAACACATCTGTGAGACACCCAGGAACCATCCACATGCCCTACAGCGGACACAACCCTAAGACAGGGAGCAGGACGCCAAGTAGGGCCACGTGGACTCTCTGGATCCTCATTCTCCTGAGGATACTCACAGAAAGGCAACAGCCCCCCCTCCTCATCCCCGGTTAATTCCTTCATCATGGCACATTTATCCTTGCAGACAGGAGGTAGAGAGGTGTGGGAAGGGAAGCAGACCAGTCCAACCCCATGGTTCCCACTTCCCTGGGCCCCCTCGCCTACTGTACAGCCAGAGCTCCTTGGACATCAGCTCCCTCTGGGTCTGAAGGAGTCTCTGCAGCCTGCGGTCTGTCCTCATGTGCTCCACATGCCCAGCTCTGACAAGGAAAGGCTGGGATGTCCACAGGGCTGGAGAGGTTCAGCCAGGTTGGGGGGCCGCCTGTCCCATATCACACCCTCCTTTAGAAACCAAGGCCATTCAAATGATCTTGGTCTCAGGATCTGTCTACTGGTAGCGCCCATTCACGGCTTCAGTCATGCCTTAATGGTATTGTCTGTGTGAAGAACATAAACTCTAGAGTTGGGCAGACCTAGTTCAAATCCTGGCTCTGGCCAGTTACTAGCTGCGTGACACAGGCAGGCTACTTAAGCCTCCAAGCCTCAGTTTTTTTAATCTATAAAATGGAGCCAATAATACCTATGTAATAGGTTAGAGTTAGAATTAAAAGTTTCTAAATATAAAGTGCCAAGCACATAAGGAGCCCTCAATAAATAAAAACTATTGTTAAATAAACATACACAGAGCGGTCACTAGGTGTACCAGGCATTGCACTAGTTAGCTAGTGCAATAAAGAAATGAGAAAATTATCTCTGTCTTTGAGGAGCTCTCAGTCCAGAGGGCAGGCAGGCACACTGCATTCTTCACTTGGAATCAGGAGTACTAAGTGTGCCCTCAGGGCCATGGCAGCAGATAGGCTTAGCCATTAAGGGAGTCTGGGAAGGCTCTCCAGAGGAGGTGATCTGGGGTTTCAAGGATGGGAAGAAATTCGCTAGGCAGAAAAGGTGGAGGGAGATTTCAGATTTTGCACAGAGGCCACAGAAGAACTCATCTGAAACTCTACAAACTAACCTGCCTTCCCCAGAGCTTCATGAGCAGAGGCTGCAGAATCCAAAAGCAACTTTTTTCTTTTTTTTTTTTTGAGACGGAGTCTTGCTCTGTCACCCAGGCTGGAGTGCAATGGCAGGATCTTGCCTTACTGCAACCTCTGCCTCCCGGATTCAAGTGATTCTCCTGCCTCAGCCTCCCCAGTAGCTGGGATTACAGGTGCCCGCCACCATGCTCAGCTAATTTTTTGTATTTTTAGTAGAGACAGGGTTTCACCATGTTGGCCATGGCTGGTC
Source organism: Homo sapiens (assembly GCF_000001405.40). Taxonomy (NCBI): domain Eukaryota; kingdom Metazoa; phylum Chordata; class Mammalia; order Primates; family Hominidae; genus Homo; species Homo sapiens. The sequence continues at coordinate 74,294,273 of NC_000014.9, forward strand.
TCGAACTCTTGACCTCAGGCAATCCACCCGCCTCGGCCTCCCAAAGTGCTGGGATTACAGGCATGAGCCACCATGCCCGGCCTCCAAAAGCAACTTTTTTACACACCCAGCCCTGCCCACCTCACAACCCCACCCCAGCGCAGATTCCCAGTATTCTTGGTGCCCTCAAGTGGTGGAGGTTGCAAACTGCAGCAGAGACTGAGGAGCAAAGGTCCCAGGGCTATCACATCCACCCCAAGTACAGAGCCAAGGAGTAGCTTCCACTTCTTAAACGCAAACCTCTGCCTGCACTATCAATCCTAACGCTGATTTCAGAGGCCTCACATAAGGCAGAGCACAGGGACCGGTTCTGGCCCTGGAGGGAAGGGATGGGATTTCATGCCGCTGCTGCTGCTCCTGCTGCTGCCGTCAGGAGACCAGACGCTTGGCTCCATTAGACAGCATTGTGGGGAGCAGGTCTCCTGGTTTTCTGAGAAGCTCCCATTCCATCCCACGCTACGGAGACAAAGGATCAGGCTTGAACCTCAGGCACTGGCAAGAAAGCTTCTTAACAGACAGAAGAGCAGAGGCAGACGGATGTCTTACAGTCACCAGCAAGAGGATGAGGCATTCATTCATTTGACAATTTCAGGCCCCACGCTAGGCCACTAAGACTAAAGCTGGCCACAGTAAGGAACCACCAGCTTCAGAAGCAAACCCCTGGACCTAAGGATGAGGCAGGCAAGGGCAGGGGGAGGTAGAGGGAGAGGGTCACAGCCAAGTGTGACAACACTCAGCCCCTGAGCTCGGTGGTGGTGGGAGGGTTGAGGATTCATCTTTCCTTCTCCACTCTCAGCTCTGGCAAGGCAGAAGGGGAACCATCTCTCCAGACTCACCTGTAGAAAGCAGCAGGCTCCGCATTCACCCGAATCTGCATGTGCTTGAACCTGGGCGGACCAAAGGGAAATGTGTGCTGACAACAGGGAGTACTGGCCTCACTCTTGTTGGAGTCCTGGATCACAAAGACCGCCCAAGCGGAGCCCGGCTCTGCCTCAAAACCGTGGCTGCCTCAGTCTGACCCTTTCCTGGACTGTTATGGGGTAGAAAACCCCAGGGCTAGGTGGTGTGGCAGGAGCTCTGCAGAGACAGGGCTGCCCCTCAGCTTTCTGCAGAGAGGACAGGGGTATTCCTGCTCACAGCATCTCCTCCTCCCAGGGCCTGGCCCAAAGGAGGGGGACAAGAAGCACAGGGCAGGCACTGGATCCATTGGCTGCCACACCCAACTGATCCAAGACAGGGCGGTTATGCCAGGGCAGTGAGAAGGCCAAGAGATGACAATGACGATGGTGATGGCCAGGCAGACACGGTTCTCAGACCTTCTCAGGTATGATTTCATTAATCCTCCTAATCCTCTCAGTAGGCAACGGTACCATTTCCACTTTAGAGACAAGAACATTGAAGCTTGGAGAGGTTAAAGACCTCTCCAAGATCACACAGCTAGTAACTGGCACAGCTAGGATTTGAACTTAGGCAGTTTTACTCCAGATCCCCTTCCTTAACTATTATGCCCCAGCCCAGAAACCTCAAGTGAGGGAGACACACCTAAAATCTCCCTCCAGCTTCTCCTGATGCACCAGCTTCATCACAATGGGGCCCATCAAAGTTTTGTTCACCACGGTCCCCAGGATGAAATACCCGAAGATGCTCACAGGCCCGAGCCAGCCTGTGCTGAAATAGAGAGAGAGGGAGAGAAGGGAGAGGGTGTGGGGTGCCACCTATCCCCACATGCCTCAGCCCTGACTCCTGTTCCCTCTCAGGTAGCCCCTGTCCAATCTGAGTGGCCCAATGGGCCCTCTGCTCCTATGTGGGGGCATCTGGTATGAGCTCTCAGAGCCAGGATATCTGTGACACTGCAACACAGGGCCAAAGGAAGGGCAGGGGCCTGAGCACGTGGGATGGGTGAGCACGTGGTAAGGTACGGTGGGAGAGAGGGGAAATAAGCTTCTCTTGGACCTTGACCTGGGAGAGCTGACTGAGGGCCCTCTGGGGAAACACCAGGCTGGGGAGGAGGGAGGCTTCACCTTTGGAAGCACTGGTAAGTGTAGTAGACGAGGGTGAACGGGGAGATGATGAGCTTGCTGGCCATGCTGCTGAGCTGCCGGCAGAATCGCTCCACGTCCTGGCTGATGCGCTGGTCCCTGGAGCCAATGACACAGAGTAGCTGGACCCAGGGAGATGGGCCCAAAGGTAGAGAGAACAAGAAACTTTCACATCACCTCTGCTCTTGACCTTGCCTCACAGTGCTGTGAACACTGACCCTATGGGAAGAGGGAACCAGACAAGGCTGGTTTCCTAGGGGCAACTAAATCCCAGGGCCTTTAAACAGGGTTCTAGAGAGTTGCATCTTACGGTGCCTTAGTTAATCCCCTGAAAAAGTGGGAACTGAAAGGTCCAGTACCCAGGGGCCTGAGCCAGCTCTGAGCAGAGCCAAAGAAAAACTTGAAGGTAGATGAGCTGTTTTGGATGATCAAGAAGACTATCCCCTTTATCTCAATCCTCCCAAATTTCTCTTATATAAGCCCTAGCCTGGCCCCTTTAGTTATCTGGCTGTGAAAGCTCCAGGCTGTGAGGCACACCTGTAGTCCCAGCTACTCAGGGGGCAGAGGCAGGATGGAAGCCATAGCCATCAGAAAGAGGCCTAGAAGTTAGGCAGCAGCAGCAGCCTCCCACGCATCTTTGCACCAAAGCTAAGCTTGAGCTGAGAGGTACCCCAACCAACAAAGTGCTTGCTAGGAAGGTGGTGAGTGAGGGGATGGGTGTGAAGGAGACCCCCTATGTCTCATCTCACCACTAGGGCCATACTGATTCCTATTCCCAATGAGTGACGTGACCTTGGGCAAGTCACTTGCAATCTCTGGGCTTCAGCTTCCTCATCTGTAAAATAACAATAGCTAACTTACACTGAAACACTTGCTATGTGTCAAGCACTGTACATGTGCATTACATGAATGATATTTCATCCTCACTACACCCTTTGAGATAGGAACTATTATTGTCCTCATTTTACAGAAGGGGAACCTGGGGCTTGGTGACTTTAAGAGTTATAACCTGAGTGGTGATAGAATGGAGATGTGAATCCTAGACTGAGTCCTGGATAGTGGTAATTTTTTTTACTGATGAAAATCTAAGAGCTGGTTTTTCTAGCAAGGACATTTTCTTTAGAACCCTCTAAAGAAACCCCTTAGTCTTCTTACTGGAAGACTAAGATATAAAGTATGAAAAGGACAAAAGAAAGCTGCTCCTAACATTTTTCTTTTTTTTAAGAGATGGGGGTTTCTGCTATGTTGCCCAGGCTAGAGTACAGTGGCTATTCCCAAGTGTGCTCACGGTGCACTACTCCTGGGCTCAAGTGATCCTCCTGCCTCAGCCTCCTGAGTTGTTGGGACTACAGGTGCATGCCACTGCACCTGGCAGGCTTCTTCTTTTTAGCTGCCTATTCACAGCCCTGCAGCTTCTCCAGGAGTCCTCTGCAGGGCACCCTCCCCCATGACTCTGGGCAGCAGCATTTGAAAACGACTGCAGATGATCTCCTTGGTGTCTGCCACCAGCAGTCTCCAGGGCTAGGCCAGAAGGAAAGGACCACACAGAGTGTAGAAAGGACTGAGTTGGGGCGCCTACGGGTTATCGATGTCATCCCGCAGCACGTTGAGGGTGTAGTACGCACGGCCCCGGAAGTAGAGGCGGTGAAGGTGCTCAGTGAGGTCCTTCCTCCAGCTCACATACAGCAGGTTGCAGGTGAACTGATCAAAGCTCTTCAGCTGTGCAGTGGGGGAAGCAAGGGGAAGGGAGAGATGGCTTCCTGAAAATCTCAGCTCAAAGCTCAAGGCTCGCAAGAGCCTCCGCTGACCCATCCCAGCCCACTCTGACTCTGATTACTCCGTCCACTCAGCACTTTTCTTTTTTAAATCATCGAGTCATGGGACTTTCCCTTCCTCACTCACTCACGTGTTCATTCCTTCACCAAATTTTTTTTCTCTGAGATGGAGTTTTACTCTTGTTGCCCAGGCTGGAGTGCAATGGCGCGATCTTGGCTCACCACAACCTCCGCCTCCCAGTTTCAAGCGATTCTCCTGCCTCAGCCTCCCGAGTAGCTGGGATTACAGGCATGCACCACCACGCCCAGCTAATTTTGTATTTTTAGTAGAGACGGGGTTTCTCCATCTTGGTCAGGCTGGTCTGGAACTCCCGACCTCAGGTGATCCGCCCGCCTCGGCCTCTCAAAGTGCTGGGATTACAGGCGTGAGCCACTGTACCCAGCCTCCTTCACCAAATATTAAAGGGCTTACCAGAGGCAAGACCCTCTTTCTACACTGTCTTATTTTGAGAGTAGATGAGCTTCTGAAGATTGGAGACCATATTGTCGATTCCATTTATGTTCTTACTCCTTTGTCCCCCAAGCTTGGGACAGAGATTTGTATGCATAGGTGCTTACTGACCGAAGACCCAACAAAAGTGGCCATGGTACGATGAGCAGTGGCTTCCCCAAGAAAACAGGTGGCACAGCCTGGCAGACAGCATTAGGCTTGAGTTCTGGTACAGCCCTGAGTCTCATCATTTACCATTTCCAGGGCACCTATGTGCTAAGCACTAGGGACATTATGAGCTCACAGTTTAGCCAGAAAACAATTACAAGCGTGTGAGGAGTGTTACAGCGAGGTAAACTCAAGGAATTCGTTAAGTACAGAAAAAGGGCAGAGTTTGGTGGAGGAGACACAAAGGAGAAAGCTGAGAAAGACTTGAAAGAGGTGACAACGGAGGGATGACGAAGAGTGAGCAGGTGGTAGCCCCCCTACTGAATGAGGGGTAGGGGAGGAGGCCATTCTGCAAGAAAGCACTGTTCAAAGGCTGGGAGGTGTGACATGGTGCCAGGGTGAGTCACAGCCTCGGTCCCGCAGAGGAGGAGCAGCAGCTCTGGCTGCTGAGCCGTTTTAATGAGCTGCCGGAAATAAGAGTTCTAGGAAGGAAAGGGGCAATGATCAGTTCTGCTAAATGCTGAATTAAACCAGAACCTGTGGCCTGGGCCCAGGAGTGGAAACATCTGAGGAATCAGTCCCACGTGGGCCAATAGCAAGATCAACGTGCTTAATAAAGGCAACTATCCCTTTAGTTCCCAGAAAAGGGAGGAAACACACCCCCACAGCTTGCTTCCTGCTTCCTGGAGGCTAAGTTCCACTAGGCATTACGGTCACACTGGACTGGAGAGGACGAGAGACACAGAGAGAGGGAAAGATCTTACCGTGGAGTTCAGAACAATGAGCATGACAGCCAGGAATGTCAGAGTCTTAAACCCTTCCAAGTCTTTGTTTCCCAGGACCCCATAGTACTGACTGGGGATCAAGCCAACCTGGTAGATCACAAATTGCTCTGAAAGGAGGGAGAGGAGTAAGAAATCAGTGATGAGGGGTTAAAAAGAAGGGAGGCTTCTTCCTGAGTCCCTGCCTCATCAGCACCCCAAAGAGATGAAAAGGGGCCGGGCGCGGTGGCTCACGCCTGTAATCCCAGCACTTTGGGAGGCTGAGGCGGGTGTATCACCTGAGGTCATGAGTTCGAGATCAGCCTGGCCAAGATGGTGAAACCCTGTCTTTACTGAAAAATACAAAGTTTAGTCGGGCGTGGTGGTGGGTGCTTGTAATCCCAGCTACTCAGGAGGCGAAGGCAGGAGAATCACTTGAACCAGGGAGGCAGAGGTTGCAGTGAGCTGAGATTATGTCACTGCACTCCAGCCTGGGCAACAAGAGAGAAACTCTGTCTCAAAAAAAAAAAAAAAAAAAAAAAAGATGGAAAGGGACCCCAAACCAGAGCTCCCCTCCCTCCTCTAGTCTGGGCTCACTCACTCACCCAGTAGGGTCAGGCACAAAAGGGTCAGGAACATCAAGGCATTTTGTGATGACCAAGAAGGAAACAAAACCTTCAGTATCTGCAGGAACCGCTGGAGAAATTGCAGATCTAACCTGGGCCTGAAGAGAAGGTGGGGAGGCAGAGAAAAGCCCAAGACAATAATTAAGCCTTAGGGAGTAGTTATTAAGCTCATCCACATTGTTCTGTAGAGGGTCCAGGCCATGCAGAAAGAATGGTTTTCAAATGCTGAAGATGGTAGGCTGGGAACAGACCACGGATACAAAGGAAATTCTTTGGCCAAGCGTGGTGGCTCATGCCTGTAATCCCAGCTACTCGGGAGGCTGAGTCAGGAGAATTGCTTGGACCTGGGAGGCAGAGGTTGCAGTGAGCTGAGATTGCGCCATTGCAACAAGAGCCTGGGCAACAAGAGCAAAACTCCGTCTCAAAAAAAAAAAAAAAACCAAAAACAAAAAACTTAAAAAATTACAAATGGATTAAAAATCTAAACGTGAAAAGTAACACTATCATGTTAATAGAAGGAAATGTAGAAAAATGTCTTAATGAAGATACCTTAAAAACCTATACAGGGGAAAACTGATGAATTTAACTTCATTAGAGTTAAATGTTTTTATTCAACACAGTGCCATAGATTAAGTTAGAAGACTTGGAGGTGGTATCTGCAGAGTGCAAAACCAACAAGGACTTGAAATCTTTATTTTTTTGAGACGGAGTTTTGCTCGTTGCCCAGGCTGGAATGCAACGGCGCAATCTCGGATCACTGCAACCTCCGCCTCCCTGGTTCAAGTGATTCTCCTGTGTCAGCCTCCTGACAAGCTGCAATTACAGGTGCATGCCACCACGCCCGGCTAATTTTTGTATTTTTAGTAGGAGACGGGGTTTCATCATATTGGTCAGGCTGGTCTCGAACTCCTGACCTCCGGTGATCCACCTGCCTCGGCCTCCCAAAGTGCTGGGATTACAGGCGTGAGCCACCGCGCCTGGCCTAAAATCTTTTTTTTTTTTTTTTTGAGACAAGGTCTTGCTCTGTTGCCCAGGCTGGAATGCAGTGGTGCGATCTCAGCTCAGGGCAACCTCTGCCTCCCGGGTTCAAGCGACTGTCCCACCTCAGCCTTTTTAGTGGCTGGGAGTACGGGCGTGCGTCAACACGCTCAGCTAATTTTTGTATTTTTGGTAGAGATGGGGTTTCACCATGTTGCCCAGGCTGATCTTGAACTCCTGGACTCCAGTGGTCCACCTACCTCAGCCTCCCAAAGTGATAGGATGACAGGTGTGAGCCACCGGGCATGGCCAGGATCTAAATCTAGAGCCTACAAGAATTCCTGCAAGCCAGGAACATAGGAAATCCACAGAGAAGTGGGAAGGGATATAAACAGGCAATTCAAAAAAGGGAAAACCCACGTTTAATAAACACATGAAAATGTAGGCCGGGAGCAGTGGCTCACGTCTGTAATTCCTTTATGCACTGCCCGTCGGGAAGTGTAATCCCTGCACTTCGGGAGGCCGAGGCGGGTGGATCACCTGAGGTCAGGAGTTCAAGACCAGACTGGCCAACCCCCCCATCTTTGCTAAAAATACAAAAAATTAGCTGGGTGTGGTGGCGCGCGTCTGTAATCCCAGCTACTCAGGAGGCTGAGGCAGAAGAATCGCTTGAACCCGAGGCGGAGGTTGCAGTGAGCCGAGATCATGCCACTGCATTCCTGCCCGAGCAACAAGAGCAAAACTCCGTCTCAAAAGAAAGAAAGAAAGAAAGAAAGAAAATGTACACGATGGGATACCACCTTACACCCCCCAGACTGATAAACATTACAAAACCAGCCGCCACTGAACGATGGAGGGATACCGGGAAACAGGAAGCTTTATGCACTGCCCGTCGGGAAGTATAAACTAGTGTGACCATTCCAAAGAACAATCCAGCAAAATTAGATATGACCAGGACCCAACTCTGGGGTGGATACCCAGAGAAATGCAACAATATGCACAAGGAGACAACTGCCAGAATATTCGTTACAGTGTGGCTTGTGGGGGTGTTAATACTAGAAAAAAATCTATCCACCACTAGGGGAATAAGTCTATGCACACAGCACCCCTCATGCAAGCACTCAGAAGTGAAAACAAGATGACTAGCATGGATGGACTCAAAAACACAATGTTGAGGAAAAAGGTTTAAAGAAAAATCACAGCATATTATATTGAAGAATTCGAAACCGCTATATAGATTTCAAAGTAACACTTGCACAAATTTACCCAAGGTGGACCGTAAAGCCACTTATATAACACACCAGAGTGGCTGTCTGAAAAGGGGAGTGAAAGGGGTCTGGGAATAGGAACGAAGAGAGGAAGTGATAAAATAAACAAGGAGCCTTGCATTGGCCCACAGGGTGTCAAGAACTGAGAAGGATCAACTCAATTTTGTGCACCTGAGGTTCTTCTTTTCAAAAAAAGAATGCCAGTTGCGAGGGTGAGGGTCCCACACCGCAGGAGATGGCACAAGTCCGGCCAAGAACGGAGGGGGCCGCGGCCGGTGCGGAGCGGCCTAGAGCGGCGGGAGGGCGGACGCCCCTTCGAGAGCTCCTCTTTCTCTCAGAAGTCACGGGGGCGAGACGGGGGCGCCAGGGCGGCGGACGAGGCACGGAGGGCAGGAAAGCCCATTCCCTACAGCCCGGAACTCCTGCTCCCAAACCTCCTCCCCGACCGCCCTGCTTACCTGGCGCCAGCTCCGGGCGCGGGCCCCGCGACCGCCATGACCTGAGACCCGAGGGACTCTGGAGCCCAGCTGCCCCTAGTTCAGTACTGGGTAGAGTCCGAGGAGGGGCGGGGCCCCGGCTACCACAGAGACGGCGTTTGATAGAGAGGAAGGTGCGGGAGACGCGGACTCTCCCGGAAGCGACCGACGTCTCTAAAAGTACCAGAGAGTGGACTCGGCTGACCCGGCGGCTACAGCGCCCCCATATTTTCTGGGAGACTTCCCTTTTGACAATAGGTATCCGAGAGTGTAACTACTTTATGGCAAGTATTTTAGATTCTGTGTATAATAGATGTTTTACATATTCTCCCAGAGAAGCCAGCATGATCTTTAAAAAAGTATAAATTAGGCTTCCAGCCGGGCCCGGTGGGTTACTCCTGTAATCCCAGCACTTTGGAAGGCCAAGGCGGGAGGATCGCTTGAGCCCAGGAATTCAAGACCAGCCTGGGCAACATGGCAAGACCCCGCCTTTACAAAAGACAAAAGCATTAGCCGGGGATGGTGGCGAGCGCCTGTGGTCCGAGCTACTCTGGAGGCTGAGGCAGGAGAATCACTTGGGCCCGGAAGGTCAAGGCTGCAGTGAGCCGTGACTGTGCCACTGCACTCCAGCCTGGGCGACAAAGAGAGACCCTGTCTCAAAAACAAATAAATAGATGATAATGATCGATAGATAAGATAGATAGTTGAATGAATGAAATGCTTATCAGTTGACTGATTAGTACCCAAAGGGAGGTGGGAAATGGCTCAAAAAAAACCCAAACAGCATGATCCCACAGGTCCCTAAATTTGAATCTGGATGTGTCTTCTCACTTTCCTCCAATCCTTATTAAGTTTCAACTGCAAGCCAAACACTCTACAACATGCATGTATCACTTGTCTTTATGAAAGTTGCAGTCTAGCTGGGTAGGTCAATCAGTTGACAATTACAGATTTTTTTTTTTTTTTTTTTTTTTTTGATACGGAGTGTTGCTTTTGTTGCCCCGGCTAGAGTGCAATGGCGCGATATCGGCTCACGGCAACCTCAGCCTCCCGGATTGAAGCCATCCTCCTGCCTCAGCCTCCCGAGTAGCTAGGATTACAGGCATGTGCCACCACGCCCAGCTAATTTAGTATTTTTAGTAGAGACAGGGTTTCTCCATATTGGTCAGGCTGGTCTTGAACTCCTAACCTCAGGTGATCTGCCCGCCTTGGCTTTCCAAAGTGTTGGGATTACAAGAGTGAGCCACCGCTCCTGGCCTTTTTTTGTTTTTGTTTTTGTTTTAGACGGAGTTTCGCTCTTGTGGCTCAGGCTGGAGTGCAATGGTGCTATCTTGGCTCACTGCAACCTGTGCCTCCCGGGTTCAAGCGATTCTCCTGCCTCAGCCTCCCGAGTAGCTGGGATTACAGGCATGCACCACTATACCCGGCTAATTTTGTATTTTTAGTAGAGACGTGGTTTCTCCATGTTGGTCAGGCTGGTCTCGAACTCCCGACCTCAGGTGATCCACCCACCTTGGCCTCTCAAAATGCTGGGATTACAGGTGTGAATCACCGTGCCCGGCCTACAGCTGTCTTTATGAAGTGCTATGACAAACATACCATACAGCAGGGGTTCTCAACTTTGGCGCCATTAAGTTTTGGGGCCTGATCATTCTTTGCTGTGTAGGCTTTCCTATGCAATGTAGGATGTTTAGCTGTATCCCAGGCCTCTACGCACTAGATGCCGGTGGCATTCCTTCTGACCTAGGCATCCCAAAATGTCTCTAAACATTGCCAAATGTCCCTTAGGGGAGAAAGGACCAAAATTCCAGCTTTACCCCACCCCCTAGCATTGAGAACCACTGCCCCAGAACCAAAGAGAAAGGCATTTAACTCAGCATGGGGAAAAGTGGAATCTAGAAAGACTTTGAAGAGGAAATAACTTTATTCAAGTATGTCTTTCTTATTTTGAAAACCAAAAAAATAGGATGCAATTTTTGAAAAATTAATAAGGCAACCAAAGTATTAAAGCAAGCAACGTCACCTCTCTAGGGTAATCTAGGTTTACAGATCTTGTCCCCTTTCAGTCTCAAAAATGTCCTAGTTTGGTATTCGGTGGCATTACTGTCCCAGGGTGCCTCAGCATTGTCTATTACTGTAAACTTTTAAGAAGTAGCAGGCTGGGCACGGTGGCTCACGCCTGTAATCCCAGCGCTTTTGGAGGCCGAAGCAGGCAAATCACCTGAGGTCAGGAGTTCAAGACCAGCCTGGCCAACATGACAAAATCCCGTCTTTACTAAAAGTACAAAAATTAGCCAGGTGTGGTGGCGGGTGCATGTAATCCCAGCTACTTGGGAGGCTGAGGCAGGAGAATTACTTGAACCCAGGAGGCGGAGGTTGCATTGAACTGAGATTGTGCCATTGTACTCCAGCCTGGGTGACAAGAGTGAGACTGTTTCAAAAAAAAAAAAAAAAAAGAAGAAGAAGAAGTAATACACCAGAGTTACCAGTGAGCAAGCGGGAGGCTACTGGAGTGCAGCAGAGCAGAGTAATGCCCAAATCAAAGGAACTTACTTCTTCAAGCTCTTCTGGCAGCGGTTCTGACAGTGATGTTGACAAAAAGTTAAAGAGGAAAAAGCAGGTTGCTCCAGAAAGACCTGTAAAGAAGCAAAAGACTGGTGAAACTTGAAGAGCTCTATCATCTTCCAAAGAGAACAGCAGCAGCAGCACAGATGATAACATGATGTTTCAGGTTAGGAAAATGAGGTACATTAGTGTTTGGGATTTTTTTTTAGACTTGTCCCCCAAGGCTGGAGCGCAATGGCACGATCTTGGCTCACTGCAACCTCTGCCTCCCAGGTTCAAGCAATTCTCCTGCCTCAGCCTCCTGAGTAGCTGAGACTGCAGGCACTCGCCACCATGCCTGGCTAAGTTCTGTCTTTTATGTCGAGACAGGGTTTCACCATGTTGGCCAGGCTGGTCTTGAACTCCTGACCTCAAGTGATCTGCCCACCTTGGCCTCCCAAAGTACTAGGATTACAAGTGTGAGCCACCAAGCCGGGCCAGTGTTTGGGATTTTAAAGGGTAATTGATATTAAATAATATTGGATGGATCCAGAAGGTGAAATGAAACCAGGAAGAGAAGGTATTTCTTTGAATTTGGAGCAAAGAAGCCAGCTGAAGGAACAGATTTTTTAAAATTTAAATTTAAAGATTATATATATATAATATATGTAAAAATATATATGTAAAATATATATATGTAAAAATATACATATATATATATATATATATATATATATTTTTTTTTTTTTTTTGAGACAGAGTCTTGCTCTGTTGCCCATGCTGGAGTGCAGTGGTGGGATCACAGCTGACCGCAGCCTCCATCTCCTGGGCTCAAGTGATCCACCTCAGCCTCCTTAGTAGCTGGGACTGTAGGTGCTGGCATCACACACAGCTAATTAAAAAAAATTTTTTTTGTAGAGAAGGCAGGGGTTGGGGGGAGGTGTCTCACTGTGTTGTCCAGGCTAGTCTTAAATTCCTAGGCTCAAGTGATCCTCCACCTTTGCCTCCCTAAGTGCTAGGATTACAGATGTGAGCCACTGCACCTGGCCAAGAACAGATTTCTGATACTGATGATGCAGTTAAGAAAACTGTGAAATTCAAGCCATATAAAACCTATACTGTTCTAGTGTAGTTGGTTTGTGTGTGTGTGTGTGTGTGTGTCTGTGTATGTGTGGTTTTTTTTTTTTTTTTTGACAGGTTCTTGCTCTGTGGTCCAGGTAGAGTGCAGTGGGATAATAATCACAGCTCACTGCAGTCTCCAACTCCTCCCACCTCAATCTCCTGAGTAGCTGGGGCTACAGGTATGCGCCAACATGCCTAGCTAATTTTTAAGTTTTTTTTTTTTTTTAAATAGAGATGAGGTCTCACTATATTGCCCAGGCTGGTCTAGAACTCCTGAGCTCAAGCGATGCTTCTGCCTCAGCCTCCCAAAGTGTTAGGATTACAGGGCGGAGCCACCGCTCCTGGCCTCTAGTTGTTTTAATCTGTCTTTTTACATTGGCTTTTGTTTTCTAAATATTGTCCTCCAAGCTATTGTATGTTTAGATTGCAGAACAACTTGTAAAATGAATACTTGTTTTAATGTGCATTATTTAAAATGTTCTGAGTGAAGCTAATTGTCAACTTTATAAGGAGAATTGCTCTGTGCCCACCACTTAGTATACAATAAATCAAGTAATACATTCTTAACTGTTGTGGCCCTTTTTTTTTTTTTTTTTTTTTTTGAGATGGAGTTTCACTCTTGTTGCCCAGGCTGGATTGGGGCTCACTGCAACCCCTGCCTCCCAAGTTCAAGTGATTCTCCTGCCTCAGCCTCCTGGGTAGTTGGATTATAGGCACCCGCCACCACGCCCGGCTAATTTTTTATATTTTTAGTAGAGATGGAGTTTCACCATGTTGGCTAGGCTGGTCTCAAACTCCTTACCTCAGTTGATCCACGCGCCTCCACCTCCCCAAGTGCTGAGATTACAGGCGTGAGCCACTGCTCCTGGCCCTGTTGTGGCCTTTTTTGATCATGAGAGTTGGTGCTCTTGAAGGCCAAAAATGACAGTTTTTTATAGATCTTTTAATTTCAATTCAGCTTTCACAATAAAAAAGAGTGTATTGCATTGAACAAAAAAAGTATTACACCAATACTAAACTTGATGTAAAATGTGATCTCAACTATGAAAATATATATAGATGTAAATATCTGCATAGAAAAATCATAATGAAGCATAGCAAAAGGCCATATATCATATTGGTTGTTAATATTTGAGTTTATATTTCAGAGTTATCTTTTGGATAAGATCCAATTTTTTTTTCTTTTTTTTGAGATGGAGTCTCGCTCTGTTGCCCAGGCTGGAGTGCAGTGGCGCGATCTTGGCTCACTGCAACCTCCGCCTCCCGGGTTCAAGCAATTCTCCTGTTTAGCCTCCCAAGCAGCTGGGACTACAGGCGTCCACCAGCACGCCTGGCTAATTTTTGTATTTTTAGTAGAGACAGGGTTTCACCATATTGGCCAGGCTGGTCTCGAACTCCTGATCTTGTGATCTACCTGCCTCAGCCTCCCAAAGTGCTGGGATTACAGGTGTAAGCCACCGGGTTTAGAGCCAACTTAAAATTAGTTCAAATTTCTAATTAGCTCATAACTGTGATCGATGTTTTCTTTTTATTTTATTTTTTTCTTTTCTAGGTTTTTAAAAAATTCACAATCCACTTGGGCACAGTGGCTCACACCTGTGGTCTCAGAACTTTGGGAGGCCAAGGCCAGAGGTTTGCTTGAGCCCAGGAGTTCAAGACCAGCCTGGGCAACATAGCTAGACCCCCATCTCTACAAAAAAAGAAAAAAATTGGGATCCAAATAAGGTCTACACATTGCAATTGATCATATGTCATTTAACACTCTTTTAGTTTATAGGTTCCTCTTCTACCCCTTTAGACCAGCTACTATTATCTCATTTTCATGTCCTTCTGCAAAACCTTCTAACTGGATTTCTACACTTGAATTTCCTCCTGCTCTAATCCAGTTTCTACAAAGCAGCCAGAGAAATCTGAACAAATGTAAACCAGATCAACAGTCCACTTAAAGCCCTTCAAGGCTTCTTTTTTTTTTTGAGATGGAGTTTCGCTCTTGTTGCTCAGGCTGGAGGGCAGTGGTGTGATCTCGGCCCACTGCAACCTCTGCCTCCCGGGTTCAAGCGATTTTCCTGCCTCAGCCTCCTATGTAGCTGGGATTACAGGCACCCGCCACCACGCACAGCTAAT